>NC_000015.10:91138247-91289762 GCF_000001405.40 Homo sapiens
GCACAGTCTAACGTAGTAGCCAGTAGTCACATGCATGTGTTGAGCACTTGAAATAAGACTAGTGTGACCGAGGAACTAAGTTTTAAATTTTGTTGAATTATAACTAATTTAAATTTAAATAGCCACATGTGGCTCTTGGTTACTGTATTGGACAGCACAGTTCTAGACTGACCTATCAATTTATGGGAGACACAGGGGACAGAATAACATGTTGAATGACACCATAGGAATGCAAACAGCAAAACACATTCTATGAGAACTATAGTTGGCACTCTGAGTTCATGGATTCAACCAATAACAGATTGAAGATTTTTTTAAAAAAATGGATGGTTGCATCTGTACTAAATGGGTACAGACTTTTTTTTCTTGTAATTATTCCCAAAACAATATAGTATAGCAAATATTTATATAGCATTTACATTGTATTGGGTATTGTAAGTAATCTAAAGATGATTTAAAGTATACAGGAAGACCTGCATACATGATATGTAAATACTATGTCTTTTATATAAGGGTCTTAAGCATCCATGGGTTTTGTTACCTGCAGGGAGTCCTAGAACCAATCCCTCACGGTTACTGAGAGATGACTGTATAGGACAAACTATCTGGTTTCATCCACAAATAAGGCACAATGAATAAAAAAGAGATAGCTTGGGAAACATAAATTATTAAAGAAAGTGATATCAACCAATTATTAATACAAGGTATAGAACGTCTATGGATTCTGTTTCAACAATTAAACCAGTGAAATTACGAGACGATTAGGGAAATGTGAACACTGATTGTATATTTAATGATGTTACAAAATTATCACTTTTTAGGTGTGATAATGGCATACTGATTATTTCAAAATAGAGTCCTATTCTTTAAAAATTGTTACTGATGTGCGTATGGCTAAAATCATATGATGTTGGGCTGTGCTTCACAATCATCCAATGGTGGTGTGAAGGGAAGGAGGTTGGAGAACTGGGTAGGGGTATAGATGATATGAGATTGGAATGAGTTGATAATTGTTCGAGTTAGCTGGTGGGTACATGGTAGTTCATTAAATTATTCTCTCTACTTTTGAATGTGCTTGCAAATTTCCACAATAAAATGTTAAAAAAAAAGAAGTAAGGGAAACTTCCAAGGAACCTCTCTCTAACCCTAAATAACAACAGCCATAATATCAACAGCAGCAAAAATACCACCCTTGAGCTAAAACCAGAGCTGGGAAATGGAGGCAGGGAGAGGTGTACAAGTAGCACCCAGAACAGAAAAGCAGGGTGAGGGCAAACACCGCTATCAATGCTGTAGTAAGGAGAGTAAGCCTTGGGCTAAGGGCACTAAGTTAAGCTGCAACCCCAGCTAAGGTGATCCCAGGTCTACAGTGTCCCTGGCTGTCAGAGAAGGCAAAAGCAAATTCTGTCTGAAAGAGAGCACCCTCCATTTAGGTATGTGGGATTCCTACGGATTAGGGTTAAGCAAATAGGAGCAAACATTAGGGTGACTGTAACAATTATCATCTAAACTGAGACACTTTTGAGGATGCAAGGAGGTACTCAGATAATTAACAGGCGTCAGTTGGTTGTAAAAGACGTAAACTAAGATTGTCCTGGAGAAACCAAGCTATATGGTCCCTCTGGTAGCCAAGGAAGGGAGGAAGATCCGGCCACTTTGTTCCTAGAGTTTGGTGAGAGTGACAGCCTGCGTCTCAGCCCAGATCATTTGGAAATTGGGCTCATGCTCTGGGTCAATGATTCTCAAAGTGTGGTCCTTGGACCAGTAGCATCCGCATCACCTGGGAGCTTGCTAGAAATGCAGGCTCTTGGGTCCTGACCCAGACATAATAAATCAGAAACTCAGAGGATGGGCCCAGTAGGTGATTCTGATGTACCGAGTTTGAGAACCACTGGTGTAGGCAAACATTTCTGAGCTGTTGTCCATCCAGCTATTAACAAACATTCCGTGAGTATCACAATGCTCATTATTTTTCTTCAAAGTAATAGCAGCTAGGAACAAAGTTACATTTTCTCAAGCCTTGACATTTTAACAGTACCAGGTAATTCTATAAATAAAGTCTAATAAAAGTCATTCATCAATTATCCATTAAGAAGGATTTTAAAATAATAAAAATGCCTTTCAGCATTTTCTGTCTCAAAAGTCTAGTGCTTCTCCCAGAGGAGGAGAACAAAAATATCACCTTCTCAAAGGAAGCTTTAATTAGGTGTATATCTCTCCTGTGTGCCAATTCGTGGAGTTCCTCCAAATGAACTTCCCACACACTTCTGGCTGAAACTGGCCCCTAGTTAGCACTAGCTCATTCATTAGGTCTGCTTCCATTTAACCCGAGGCCTGAGGAGTAGCCCATTGCTCTCCTCTTTGATCTCCTCCAACAGAGTGGAGAACATGTCTGACAGTCAGTTTTTCTTTCCACACTAGGCTTCCTGGACTAACCAGGACTGGGTGTGAGACATGTACTAGATACTTCTGTGGCTTAAAACACCACCTTCTACCAAAGGCATGCTTCTGTTTGTCTTGAAGAAGTTTCTGGCATGGCTCAGTGGCTGTTTATCACCTCTGTATTAAGGACAATAGGATGAGCCCCTGGTTGATTAGAGCCTTGCTGGGGGTTGATAAACACACACCGAGATAGAAGACTCTCTGTTTTCTTATGGCCACAGGCAGCAAAGAGAAACCACACAGCCTCAGATGAACATATGTTAACACTAAGATTCTCCACACTTCCTCCAACTTCTTTTAAAATAGAACTATTTTCATGATGGAAGCCAGAAGTGCTACAAGCACTCAGGTGGCAGGACTTATAGCTAAGAGTGGCATAGGATCACACTGTTTCTTAAACCCCACTTCTGGAACTGGCTACATTCTTTGGAGACCATTTTTTAAAAAGTAGCCCTTTCTTCCACCCCATTCCCACAGGATTTTCTTCGGTAGGTCTGCATTGAGGCCTGAGAAACTCCAATTTTGGCAGGGTTCTTAGGGGATTTCTGATGTACAGCTTGAGTTGGGAACTGCCGATGCTGAGTTAGAGCTATTCTAGCAAGGGCGTGGAGTGTTTCCAGATTTTTGCTGGCATCATCTAGGGTGTCTTGCAGAACAGGGCCTTGCTCTTCTTCAGGAAGACTTGGAGTTTTCAGGAGCATCTTAGTAGTTTAGCTTTCTAACCTGCTCCTAATCCAGGTGATAAGTGAGTTCATTGAGGTATCCTGGTCAAGGGTGGAGAGAGGTTCCGCTTTGAGGGCCAGCTCTGCCACTTACCATCTGTGAGACTTTCAGCGAGTTACCAAATTCCAGCGAGCTTTGCTTTGAATGTCTAAAGAGTGGTAAGGGTAATATCTACTTGAGAGGGCTCTTGTGAAGATTAAATGACAGAATATAAGTAAAATGCTTAGCCTATTGCCTGGCACACAGTGAATGCTTAATAAATCATTCATATTATTATTTTTTTCCTAAGGGTTCAAGCCAATAGAGTTGCCAAATAGTTTGGGTTTTGTTTTGTTTTTTTTTTTGGACAGAGGTCACATTTTGGCAACATCTTTTTCTGCTAATGGATATTACAGAAAGTTACATTCAGAGAGTTAGATGCTGTACCTGAAAGGGTGTATGTTTAAAAGACTGACACTGTCGGACGGGAATTGGCAGTAGAGAACACAGGGTCCCACAGTGGATCCTCAGAGCAAGGATCCTCAGAGCTCCTGAGCAGAGGAATGGCACAAAGAGAGCAGGGAGGCAGAGAGGTAAGATACACGGCTTTGCAGGAACTCATTTCAGCCTAGATGTTAGCTGGAGGCCCTGAACCCTAAGAGCTGGATATGATGGGATCACACTCCACTCTACACTCTGGAAAGGTCCAAGATTTCTTGCATTTCACAGGCATCTTCAAAAGTCCCCCTTGACTCTGACTTCTGCTGATTCTCAACCCCTGTTCCTGTTGCGTGCCCACAGCCTTGCTGTTCTCTCATCCCTCCCCTGTCTCCTCTCTTCTGTGCTTACTCTGTCCAGTTCACTTCAAATGAGGAACAATTTAATTACCTCTTTTGCTACCTTTTCACTTGCTAACTCATGCTGTCTGGGTGTCTGCTGCCCCAAGTGGCATTTCAAGATATTTTCCTGAACAAAGAGAACAACTTCCTGAAAAAAGTTGCAATGCTTGCTCTTAAGTAATCATTTATTTCCTATCTCCCTCCAAGCCTAAATATTTAAGTAATGAGATGCTGAGGAAATACAGGAATGCTCATGTAGGTGGTGTGTTAGCAATGGAGAGAAAGACTAGATCAGGAGATATTTAAGAAATGATAAGATCCTATGACAAATTGATCATAGAAGAAAAACAAACAGAAGGGGAAGGAAGGGAACTAACATTTATTGAATGCCTGTATCATAACAACAGCCCTATTCTATTAGTTTTATCCCAGCTTTCCAAGAAATGGAAATCAGAGGGGTCAAATAATATGCCCAAGGCCACTCAGACAGTAAATAGAAGGTCCAGGATCCAACCAAGGTGTGGTTTAAAAACCTATATTCTTTGCATTGTATTCTTAATCACTTATACTTCTACCATAGAGGACAGTAGGGTCCATTCTAAACTGTGTTTAGTTCAACACTTATTTGAATTTAATTCAACAAGAAAATCATTTTTTATAAAAATAAAGTTTAGCATATACTCTTACATTTTTACAGCTTGCAATTTGCATCTTTGCATGCATCTTTCTTTCAACGGTTTTTTAGGTGCAGGTAGCAGAATCTGCTGCTGCTTCAGTGTAAATGAGGCTCCTCTTACTCACCTGTGACAGCACAGCCAGTGGCTGGGAGTTCCAGGGAGGCTGTTTCCCAAGTGTTGGTGCTGTCCAGGGACAGACCGGGTGGGTCCACTCTCATGGGAGGTATTAATTAAGCAAAGACTGGAGGACGGCTTGGTTGGGGTGTCGCTGTGGGAATTTGGATTTGGATGGGAGGTACCCACATAGGGCTGTCCATAAGAACCGCTTGGGGGAAGGCATTTTCAAAATACAGATGCCTGGGTCCTATTAGAGACGATTCAGTATGTCTAGAACGGCTCAGAAGCCTTTCAAATATGTTCCCCAGTTGATTGTCATGCACACCCAGGTCTGGGGACCATTGAAACAGGTTGCCATTAACCCTTTTCCCATTTGCCCCGAGAATACCTGCTGGTGGCGCTTGCGGCGGCAGCATTTACCCTGAGATAAGTTTGTCACGAAATATCTCACTTTTATTGTTATTTTCACATTGCTCCAGTGTATTGACTTTGCAAACAAAAGACATCATTCTATCGATAGCATTCTGTTTTTAGTAGTGCTATTTCCATTTACAAAATATAGTAATTCTCGATCGCCGAAAGTGTCAAATCCCAGAAAACGCAGCATTCTTACGTGTGATGTTAACATCATTCTCGAACTGTTGTTGGGTGCAGACCCATTTGATGAGTCCGATTTTTCTGGAATAGATGATTCTGATGATTCAGACGATTCTGATGTTTGTTCTGTTTAGAAATAACTCCAAGAACAGTTTTTATATTTTATTTTCACATTGAAAATTGGTCAGATTTGCTTCAGCCTCGAAGAGCATGTTAATGCAAAATTAAATGAGCACTGGCAGTGAGCTGCACTGTTTTTTTCTAAATGGGTAAAGTGCCCTTCATCACTGGATTCTTTAGAGTCTGTCTTCTATTATGGGAGGGAGAGTCTTATAGCCTTTAAGACACAATACTCTATTCATGTAGGCGGTGATAACTGGTCAAACATGATTCTGTTTCATTCTTGGAGAAGGTAGAATACTGAGCTCCTTTAAAATCTTTGGGTTATACACTCTCTTTGTAATGGAAAATGTTATTTACTCTAGTAGTACTTGTTGGTGATGCCACACATATTTTACTTTGAAGAAGCCAGATAATGTTTATACACCTGCAGGAACTAGCTAGAGGAATCAAGATGAGACTCCTGGCTGATATATGTACTTACAAAAAACCAGAAGGTTAAACACAGGACTGGAGTGGTTTGAGGAATGTAGCATTCTCAAATATACTTCTCCTTGGTGTGCTTGAAGCAGAAAAAGAAAACTCAAGGGATTTAGTAACAAATGTATGTTTTCTGGACCTTGGGTAACATGCTGCCCAATATCTCTCCAGCTCTTGGGTTGAAACATTCATGATTTTTTTTTAAAAAAGCATTTGCTTATTCTTCCCCAAATAGATGGATACTAGTAATAAATAATGAAAAAATATTGAATGCCAGGAAAATGACATGCAATTTTTCCTTCCTCCTGCTATAATACTTTCTTAATAATTGATGTGTGCATCTTTTCTAGTGGTGAAAGACCTTTACTTAAAGAGAGCACATGTTCAAAGCTGAGAGACTTGCTGAGTTTGTGGCCAGCTCAGAGGCATTGACCACCAAACCATTTGCATTTCAACAGCGGGACAGCTCTCAGAAGAGGACACGGGATAGAGACGCCATGCTTTCTCCACTTCTCTTACCTTATTCCATGGCACTCAGCCTTCCTTGGCAGCCAGCCTATTCCTCATTTTTAAGTAGGAGGGCTCTATAATTAACTCCAATCTATTTCTGCCGTGTTAATTAATGTGTGCATACAGAAGGTTGCTGTTTTCCTTAAGGTGTGATGAAGAGAACTGTTTTTTTTTTTTTTTATGGAAGTCACTTAGAGCTTTAGCAGATGTAGCAATTCACTTTGAATAGCAAGACATGACAAATTCTTTTTTTAAATTTAATTTTTATTTTAAGTTCAGGGGTACATGCGCAGGTCTGTTATACAGGTAAACTTGTATCATGGGGGTTGTTGTACAGATTATTTCATCACCCAGGTTATTGAGCCTAGTACCCATTAGTTATTGTTCCTGATCCTCTGCCTCCTCCCACCCTCCATCCTCCAATAGACTCCAGTGTGTGCTTTCCCCCTCACCCATGTGTCCATGTGTTCTCATCAATTAGCTCTCACTTATAAGTGAGAATATGCAATATTTGGTTTTCTATTCCTGCATTAGTTTGCTAAGGATAAGGTTTCCAGCTCTATCCATGTTCCTGAAAAGGATATGACCCCATTCTTTTTATGGCTGCATAGTATTCCATGGTGTACATGTACCACATTTTCTTTATTCAGTGTACCATTGATAGACATTTAGGTTGATTCCATGTCTTTGCTATTGTGAATAATGCTGCAATGAACATACATGTGCATATGTTTTTATAATAGAATGCTTTATATTCCTTTGGGTATATACCCAGTAATGAGATTGCTGGGTTGAATGGTATTCTTGTTTTTAGGTCTTTGAGGAATTGTCATACTGTCTTTCACAATGGTTTAAATAATTTACATTCCCATCAACAGTGTATAAGCATTCCTTTTTCTCTACAACCTCAGCAGTATCTGTTATTTTTTGACTTTTTAGTAATAGCCATTCTGACTGGTATGAGATGATATCTCATTGTGGTTTTGATTTGTATTTCTCTAATGATCAATGATGCTGAGCTTTTTTACACATGATTTTTGGCTGCATTTATGTCTTCTTTCGAAAAGTCTCTGTTGATGTCCTTTGCCCACTTTTTAATGACGTTGTTTTTTTCTTATAAATTTAAGTTCCTTATAGATGCTGGATATTAGACCTTAGTCAGATGGATAGTTTGCAAACATTTTCTCCCATTCTGTAGGTTGTCTGTTCATTCTGTTGATAGTTTCCTTTGCTGTGCAGAAGCTCTTTAGTTTAATAGGTGCCATTTGTCACCTTTTGCTTTTGTTGCCATTGCTTTTGGTGTCTTCATCATAGAATCTTTGCCCATTCCTTTGTCCAGACTGGTATTGCCTAGGTTGTCTTCCAGAGTTTTCTATAATTTTGAGGTTTACATTTACATCTTTAATACACCTTGAGTTAATTTTTGTATATGGTGTAAGGAAGGGATCCAGTTTCAATCTTCTGCATATGGCTAGCCAGTTATCCCAGCACCATTTATTGAATCCATTCCGCATTGCTTGTTTTTATCACGTTTGTTGAAGATCAGATAGTTATAGGTGTGCGGTCTTATTTCTGGCTCTCTTTATGAACCAGTACCATGCTGTTTTGGTTACTGTAGCCTTGTAGTATGGTTTGAAGTTAGGTAGCATGATGCCTGTGGCTTTGTTCTTTTTGCTTAGGATTGACTTGGCTATTTGGGCTCTTTTTAAATTCTATATAAATTTAAAAAATTTTTCGAGTTTTGTGAAGAATGTCAACGGTAGTTTAATAGGAATAGCATTGAATCTATAAATTGCTTTGGGCAGTGTGGCCATTTTAATGATATTGATTTTTCCTATCCATGAGGATAAAATGTTTTTTCATTTAGGTTTGTGTCATCTCTGATTTCTCTGAGTAGTATTTGTAGTTTTCCTTGTAGAGATCTTTCACCTCTCTAGTTAGGTATATTTTATTTTTTTGACACCACTAATTCTACTGGGTAAACTCTACCAGGGACTACAGTATAAAAAGTCATCCACAGACTCCCTCTGGGCTCTCTATGGGCATTGGAAAACAGTGAACAAAGTGGAAGGAACCTGTCCAATGACATTAGTCAGACCACAGTCTGAATCTGAACACCACACTATAGTGACTGTGTGATTTTTGGTAAGTCACTTAACCTCTCTGTGTCTTGTTTGCTCATTCATAAATGGTGCACAGAATGCCTCCTTTGATCAAGAGTGACTCATGCAATGTTTGCAAAGCTTCTGAGCCATATAACTCAATTCATGAGCCTACACGTTGGCTGTAAGCATTTATCCCATTAGACTAAGATCCTTGAGAGCAGAGATGATGTCTTATTTATGTCTCCAGTGCCTAGTAACAATAGGAACTCATATTTATTGAAAGACCAAAAAAATGAATTTGTCTTATTTGATTTTTAGCCTTAAACTCTTCACATGTCTGTGTCCCTAAAGGAATGTGAACGTATCAGCCAGAATTTCTCAACCATGTTGGCAGAGTGTTGGCTTGCCAGTCCTCAAAGCCTACCACCTAGAATTACACTATCCCTTCCTGCAGGTCCTTCTGACCTGGGAGTCCTCTGGAGCTCCCTGAGATGTGGGGTGGATGCAAATCTCTGCAGAGATGCTGGTGTTCCAGCTTGCCCAGATGTGCCATGCAGCCACTCCCCTCTTGGGTCGTGTCATTTCAGTGCCAGTGCCACAGACAAGCAGGCCATGAGGGACAGCAGGATTTTTTCCTGCTTTCAGAGACCTCTATCCATTCTTTGCTTCTGTGCTCCTTCCCCAGCCCAGGGGAATCTCTTTTTAGTCTGAGTGAGATCAACTTCCCTTTTCTGCTCTTTAAGGCACTCAGTCCATCCCTAGAATCTCTCATTCCCGAAGGCCATAGGCTTTTGGAACACACAAGTCAGAGACAGTTTCAGGTAATTTATTTTCTGCTCTGCCTAAACGTCTGCTGGATATCAAACATGCAAGACTCATTACTTGCCTGAATCCGGGAAGGGAGAGTTAATATCTTAAAATATTATAGGTCTAGTGCCTAGGAGGAAACAATTAGATATTGGGGCTGGTCTTATCAGGGATGGCAGATGTTACAGGACTTTAGGGGATATTAATTCCTTATGATTGTAAGATGGTGAAACTCCAGGTATCATTGCAGCATTTAAGACAGGAAAAAGGATGGAAGAAACAACAGTTTTCTGTTTGTTCCCCACCCCGCACCCCCCCCAACTTTTTTTTTTTTTTTTTTTTTTTTTTTTTTTTTGAGATGGAGTCTTGCTCTGTCGCCCAGGCTGGAGTGCAGTGGTGCAATCTCGGCTCACTGCAACTTCCGCCTCCCGGGTTCAAGCAATTCTTCTGTCTCAGCCTTCCAAGTAGCTGGGATGACAGGTGTGTGCCACCACGCCTGGCTAATTTTTGTATTTTTAGTAGAGACGGGGTTTCACCATGTTGGTCAGGCTGGTCTCAAACTCCTGACCTCATGATCTGCCTGCCTTGGCCTCCCAAAGTGCTGGGATTACAGACATAAGCCACTGTGCCTGGCCTGTTCCCTTTTAACAAGAAATGAAGTAGCATTTTAGAGCCCCTCTGCCTCTCTGAGACTTTTAAAAATGTATCTTTGACCAAGATTGGGTCATATAGCACAGGAAGCAGGAAAAGCCAACATTGGGTTTCCAGCCTCAATGTGGGGAGACAGCAAGTGAGAAGCGATGAGGCGTGCTGTTGGGTTAGCCCATCTTAGTCTGGGTTCCCCCAGAAGCAGATCCTGAAACAGGGCTTCAAAAGCAAGTGGTTTGTCTGAGTGTGAAGTAAAGCCTGGTAAAGTCATGGGAAAGTGAGATGAAAAGGAGAAGCCACGTATATAGCCCGGGTTCCCTGAAGAAACACAGTCAATAGGGAATATTTATATAAAATATACACATATATTATATATATGAAGAATTGATTCACATGATTTTGCAGGCTGAGAAATCCAAGATCTGCAGTTGGCAAGCTGGAGACCCAGGAGAGCTGATGGTGTAAGGTCCAGTCTGAGTCCACATCTGAAGGCAGAAGACTGATGTCCCAGCTCAAAGACAGTCAGGCAGAGAGAATTCTTTCTTACCTAGCCTTTGTTGTATTCAGGCCTTCAATGAACTGGATAAATCCTACCCACATTGGGAGGGAGCCTTCTGCTTTACTCAGTCCACTAATTCAAATGTTAATCTCATCCAGAAACACCATCACAGACACATCCAGAATAATATTTAACCAAATATCTGGGCACCCCATGGACTAATCGCATTGACCAGGACAGAGGGCATTTGTCAATTTGGCTACCACCATGGGCAGCCAGCTCTTAATCCTGGTGGATTGACTTCAAGATCTATTGAAAAATATAGACTGGTCCTATCTCACTTTTACCAATCATTGGTTGAGGGCTGCTGGGGATTGAAATCCCTGTTACTCTGTCCTGCTCACGACCTGGCAGATGGGCTTTGGCCTGAGGATGCCTGCAGGCAAAGCAATGCAGGTGCTGGCCATCGGAAGTCTGAAGGTTGCTCTTTAGTAGTAAGATGAGGGGATAGGAGTGGGCACTGATGGTATCGGTGGCCCCAGCTGACAGGATCCACCCCACAGGGTATAGTAAAACAGTTGGGTGATCCGTAAATGCTTCTTGATCTTTTAAAAAATTAAGAGCTGGTGATTGATTCTAAGTCTCAGATGTTTTGACCTGTAGGACTTTATCTCAGAAGAGAAACTTGAGTTCTTAGGACATTTTCTGTGGGCACAACCTACCAAAGAAAGAATGAGGATCTTGTGAGGAGAATCTGAAGTAATTGAACTGTAGACTTTACAACCTGAATCACTGGGAGCCACGCTCTTAGTCTCTCCATCTTGGACATGGTTTGGCACTTAAAGGGAGGGCAGATCCCATTGTCTTATGTAGCTTTCAAATTCAACCTTGGCCAAGGTGGTGCTATCTGTTGTCCTCATGTGAGAAAGCTGAGGCTCAGGGAAGGATTTGCCCAAGTCATCCAGCTTCAAACATCAGCATAGAACCCAGGGAAGCCTGACAATAAAACTGGTACCTGTTCCATGATACTTGCTGGTTCCCTCCCAAGAAGATGACCTTTCAAATGTGTCATAGAAATTAATAATGGTATAATTATATGCCACTTCTTGTGCTGACTCACGTCCAGGCCAGTGGCAGAAAGTTCTTCTGATGGGAGTATGTAGCGCTGACCCTCTGATATCCTCTCTTTCTGTCTCTGTCTTTCTGTCTGTCTCTCTTTATTTGTTTATTTTTTGACAGAGTCTCACTCTGTCACCCAGGCTGGAGTGCAATGGTGCGATCTTGGCTACTGCAACCTCCACCTTCCAGGTTCAAGTGATTCTCCTGCCTCAGCCTCCCAAGCAGCTGGGATCCAGGTGCCCACCACCACGCCCAGCCAATTTTTTGTATTTTTTTTAGAAGAGATGGTGTTTTGCCATGTTGGCCAGGCTGGTCTCGAACTCCTGACCTCAGGTGATCCACCTGCCTCGGCCTCCCAAAGTGCTGGGATTACAGACGTGAGCCACCACGCCCGGCTTCTGTCTGTCTCTCTATCACTCTTTGGTCAGGTGTATACAGCTGTTGGTAGGGTTTGGTGTCATATTCCTGAGTCAATCAAGTCAGCTCATGCTGGGCTGAACCATATTCTTGAGGTATTGATATTTCCTCCTGAATTATTAACTTTCAGGTAGCTGCTAATATCTGTGTTGGAAAAACATAAGTTGCAAATAAAACTTGGCTCTCTTTTGTCCTTCTGTTATTAAAATTAATACACACTTGGATTTGTTTGTGAATGCCCCTCTTCTTCTTTGGACTTGCTCCTGATCCCTAGCTCCTGCTGGGAGGAGGACCAGCTGTCCATATTTCTGCCCCAGTGTCTGCTTCCATAAGCAGATGGGTGGGCACAAATTGTAAGGAAACGAATTCCATCATATTTTCTGTCCTGGGAATTTAGTTCTGAGGCTCTGAGAGACTGAAATAGTCATACTGTGGCAAATCATGCCACAAAATCATGTCTGAGCCTTAGATATGGGTGCAGAGGAGCTTGTAGTGAGCAGAGAGCAGGCAGATGCTTGTGAGGAAGCAGAGACAAGAGAACAGATGGCTCCATGGGGAAGGAGTTTTGAATTCTGCACCCCCACCCCTCTGCTCCTGGGCTAGACTTTCCTCCCCTTGCCTAGGAGACTCATATGATTATGATGAAAGAAACCCCCTTACGCGTGTAGCCTGGGAGGGGGCATGGGTTCCTTTTCATCCAGATGATCCTCAGTCAAGATGATTTAGGTGAGAGCCTGTGGGCTTTGACCATGGAGCTGCCTCACCATGAGCGTGGAGCTCTGCCCTGTGCTGAGATGGAAGACTAACAGTTAAGCACATGTGTGCACATTCAAGCCTGTGTGTCTATTCACAAAACTGATCAGGGCCAAAACTCCCCATTGAAACAAAACAAAAGCACAACCATCTGAAGAGAAAAACCATGTCATTAATGGTTACACAGAAAAATTGAGTCAAATTACCAGGTGGCTTCCATAGAAAAGTTAAACTGCAGCTTTATAATTTGGTCATAATATCCCCAGGGAGCCTGTTGTGATTTATTTGCTTGTTTATTTTGAAAGATAAAGAGTACCTCCAAAAGCCTGAATAACAAAAGTTAAATATAAACCACTTTAGCCTAATCAGCCTGAGACCACTAAGGACCAATCTACAGCCCAAGAAAGTCAGATTTATTGATCCATTTTCATGATGGAGGCTGCATGCCTGAAGGGCCATTGGACATCTCACCAAACACAGGGAAAGATAGAATTATTCTACAGTTTTCAAGAAGGCTAAAATTTAGGTAAAATGAAAATAAAGCTTAAAAGCAAAGCAGTGCTGGGTATAGAGGGGTCTGGACTGTAAATTGAACCCAGGCTCCCATTTCCTTGGAAATGACAAGGTTAAGGTAAATGTGAGTGTTTTCGTCAGAAACCCCTTATATGAAGCTTTGTATCTGGGCTGGAAATCAAAGCTGCTTCTCTGTGTCAAAGTGACTTAGGTCTTCCAGGCAAGAGTGAGATGGTTCATTCCTACTCATACAATTTCCAACAGTGAAGTTTCTGATAGTCACTGATTTTAGATATCAAGGCTTTTCAGGATGCAAGAAAACAGTAGTTACTCAAAGAAGGTTATTATGTGTGGTGTGTCCTTGGTAGAAATATCATTTCCTGGTATACTTTGCAAGTAGCTTTATCTATGTCTGTTATCCCAGCCTGATGAATGTCAGGACAAATGTTTATTTTGTCAATCTGAGTTAATTTTTACTCTTTTTTTTTTTTTTTGCCAAAGAGTGAGCAGCAGCAAGATTTATTGCAAAGAGCAAAAGAGCAAAGCTTCCACAGTGTGGAAGGGGACCCAAGCGGGTTGCCCAGTTTTTACTCTTTAAAAAAATCGTTGAGGCTCTTTGCGAGAGAATGAGTCAATGTTCTTTGTTTTTTCCAGAACTTGTGAATAGATTTTTGTAAAACTTGTGAGAACTCACAGCTATTCTCTATGAACACACATGGTTAATGGTGTTTGGAGGAGCTGGGTGGGAGCTGCCAGCTTTGCTGATATCGCAGCTGGGATTTCCCAGCCTTGAGAGGTGGCATAACACAGGGCACTGTTCCCACCTTTGAGTCTCTTGGGCTTCACTTTCCTGATCTTTTTCCATATGAGGGAACATGTATTATTATTTACTTAATTTTTAAGAAGTGAATTTACATCTTGTCCTTAAATAGATGCATTACAAAGTAAAGCTTTTAATCACTGCCATAACAGGAAAAACAGTATTGCTTTCATATATTCAAAGTAACCATAGGAAAGAAATTAAATGATACCTGGTATCACTTCTTTTTATCATCTATTGCTTGTCAAATTGTGTAAGTTTGGCTTGTGTTACCTTTAAAAAAGGGAATGTGGGGTGAGGAAGATATTAGCAAAGGTCAGAAAGGAAACAGAAAGGAAAGAGGTTTTCTTTCTGAGCTTCCTTTCATCCCACAGCACCAACTAAGACTTTCTCCATGATTAGATAGATAAAAGAGTTAAAAGAGGAGACTCATACCATGTATCTTAGTCCATTTTGTACTGCCATAACAAAATACCTGAGACCGGGCAATTTACAAACAATAGAAATCTATTTCTCACAGTTCTGGAGGCTGAGGAGTCCATGATCATGGTGTCAGCAGATTCGTGTCTGGAGGGGGAATCTCTGCCTCCTAGTTGGTGCCTTCCAAGATGGTGCTGGGTTCTCATGTGATGGAAATGGTGAACTCTGCCCTGACATGCAGAAGGGCTAAAGGGATGAATGCTCTGTCCTTATATGGCAGGGGAGATGGAGGGATCAGGCAGCTCTCTGAAGCCTCTTTTAGAAGAGCATTAATCCCATTCACAAGGTGGAGCCCTCGTGACTTACTTACTTCACCTCCACCTCTTAATACTATCATCTTAGGGGTTAAGTTCCAACGTATGACTTTTGGGGGGACAAATACATTCGAACCATAGCAGCAGGATTCACTATTGGACCACGTCACATCATCTCTGGTGCCAGCGTCACTGTGTGTCCCACCCTTGGGAAACTAGCATTGCATCTCGGGAGCTCTGGCTGCTCGGCCACAGGCTCAGGATGGAATCAGGTGCCACCACGTTTTAGGTCTGTGACCTTGGGGCAGGCATTTAGCTTCCCCAAGGCTCAATTTCCCCATCCCTCATGGGGATAGTAGTTGTTATTACCTCGTATGATTGCTTTGAGGATTTAATAAGCTGATTCATGGAAAACTGTTAGCTCCATGTCTGTCATAGACAGTTTTCCACAGCTCTGAGCTCTGATGCTGAGATAAGCTTGTGTCATGCACCTGCCAAGGGCCGGTGCCTGGGTGGATTTTAGAGGTCACATCTGGGTCACAAAGGATGTCCATCCAAATGGACCAGGAGGGGGAAGTCAAGCTGACTGCTGAGGGTCAGTTCCTATTGTGTCAAGTGGTAAAGTCAGGCTGGAGACAAGGGTCAAAGAATTATGTGAGGGCAGGGGCAGGGGCAGGGGCAGGGGACAGTAACACAACATCTGCCAAGAGTCAAGACACAGCCTCTCTGCAAATGTAGGCAGGCCATGCTGAGGTGTGTCTGAGGTTTCTCTAGTCTCCTGTGGTCTGAGGGGGGACATCCCAACTAAGGGAGACACAGCTTCTCTAATCCTAGCTCCCAAGAGACAGTTATAGGGCCACTGTTCTCATCTCTGGAAAAAGACTATAGAATAATGTAAAGAGACTCTTTTGTAAGGGTCTCTTTATATTATTTTATAGTATAAATGTTAATTTATAATATAAATTATTTTATATCAATATATTAATATTTGATATTAATTTATATTATAAAATTATATTATAGATTATAAATATAAATTATATTATAAAATTATATTATAAAGTAATATAAAGATACTTTTTTATAGACCAGTTTAGGGCCACTGGTCTCATCTCTGGAAAGAGACTATTTGGATGTCATGCATTCATCTTTTTGTAGGCCTACTATGTGCCGGATGCAGTGCCAGGCACTAGACATGGTAGCACAAAAACATGGTTGGCCAGGAAGGCTTAGGGTCAGGGGTCCAGGAGATACTAAGATTAAGTGACAGAAATGGAATATTAGACAGGCAGATTGTGGAAGGAGCAGGGAGGGACACAGGATGGGCAGAAGCCTGGACCCCACTTGGCTGTGTAGCGTCAGGTATTGATCTCAGCGTCTGTCCATGTCCTCCTGCTGTGGGATGAATATGACCTTATTTAGATACGGGGTTTTTGCAGACGTAACCAAGTTAATTTGAGGTCATAGTGGATTAGAGTGGGCCCTATTCCAATGACTGGTGTCCTTATAAGAAAAGGAAAATTTGAATACAGAGACACACACAGAGGGAAGATGGCCACGTGATGACAGAAGTAGAGATTGGAGCAATGAAGCTGCAAGGTATGGGCTGTCCACAGGAAGAGGCAAGGCAAGATTGTTCCTTTGGAGGGAGATGGCCCTGCTGACATCTTGATTTTGACTTCTAGGGTCCAGAAATGTGAGAGAGGAAATTTCTGTTGTTTTAAGCCACCCAGGTTTGCAGTACCCAAGAGCATGGTTCCTTGGGGAGGTGCCTGTGAGCAGGATGACTGAGTAAACAAGTAAACTTGTTTACTGATGACTCAGTAAACGAGTGGACTGAGGTCTCTGCCTTTCTGTGCCTATTACTGATTTTTTGTTATTGATGAGTCCCTTTCCTCAAACTCCTGAATATCCCAAAGTACCGCTTCTGGCCCCATCCCTGGGACTCTGATTCTTCCCACTCATGGACAACTCTCCTTCCAGCTCCACCTTTCACTATCCAAGAGAAGCCATAGAAAATAGAAGGCAGGAGCCCTGGAGCAAAATGGGGAAAGGGAAGGGCGTGGTTAAGGTAGGAGGAGTAACCTGCAGGGGAGGAAGAAGGTGTAAGGAATGGAATCCTTTTCTGCAGAGTCAAGAGCAGACCACTTGTGTTTCAGGATCCTATGCCAGTGAGTATTAACTGTAGATGGACGTGGTACTGACACACCAGTTCTTTCCCAGCTTAGCCATCTTCTCTGCCTGGTCACCAGCATGTGGCTTTAGAAATACTTCTTGCTTAAATGGCAGATTAAATAATTTTATTCAATGTTTACCTAGATCCTGGGGCAAGAAACCAGCATTCCTTGTATAGATTTTGCTTCCTGGCCTCTTCTGGACCCCAAGATGCAGGAGAGGACTTTCTGTCTGAGTCCATGGATCAGGGCATGTGGCCAGAGGTCTCGTGTCTCATGACTGAGTGTTTTACCAGAGATCCGAGGGTCAGGGCTGGGGACTGATTTCTCTCTCCGCTGCTTGTTGCAGGAGGATGCCCTACTCCCTCACAGTAGCCTTTATGAAAAGAAAAAAAACTGGTGAGTCAAACTGCATTTTATCTAAAGAGGAAGCTTAAAATAATCTGAGCCATTTGACAAAACTAGAAGGATCAGATCTCAGGTTTTTGATCTTATGTGGGTGGTCATTGTTCCAGACCGTTAAGGTAGATAGTTGTCTGGACTCAGTGGAACCTCATGCATTTTAAGAGTCCCTGAAACCCACGTGGCCACTCTGTAGACTTACATTTACCGTGACTCTCAACACCATATTCTCTCTTTCCAAGAAATCATGGGCCCAGACATTGATATTCTGATGAGCTGATATAGAAATAAATTTCAGGCAGAGGGGTTTGGTTGGAGAGAAGCAAGAAGGTCAAGCAGAAACAAGGAATGGAAAAGTGTTTTATGTTCGTGTCAGAGGAGCTTCCAGATCACTCCAGGCTGGGGCTTGGGGATGAATGTCTCATAGGGACTTGACTTCAAGACCCAGGGACTTAAAAGTAGACATTTAGGAAAAGAAATGCCTCAGTAAGCTTGCATTCTCTGTGCCAAATTGTAAGGAAAGGGTATAGATAGGCTTCTTTCCTTCCTTCCCTAGAGTGGGACAAGAGGCCCAGTGTGACTCCACGGACTTCTGAGAGATGGGTTCTCTTGTGCAGGGCCACTTGATGAACACGTGCACCTCAAAAAGGCTAATAAGAGATTTGGGGAATTCCAGTGTCGGAGAGGTGTGACTCAGCCAACCGAAAACATTTTAAGCACCAGATTCGTGAAAGCTCAGAAAAATCAAGCTCTAGCCTTAAACAAAATGGCAGGTAGGAATCAGGAGCTGAAGCCAAGGGTATGGTAATGGGAGAAAGTCCAGCAGCCTGGGAGCAGGTTAGTGATGGGAAGCTGCGCAGGAGAGACCCATGCTAATAGCTCTAGGCTGCCAGCCTTCATGGCCATTGGCCTGGCTTAAACATACATACAGGGTCAAGCATTCATCCCTTTCTGGAAATCTCTAGTTGAAAACAAACTCAGACAAATCATTTTCTATCAATTTAGAGTGAAAACCAAAATCCCCAGAGTAACTCAATATCACCTGCCTTGATCACTTCCTGGAAAACCTCCAGGGTGCAGTATCTTTGCAACCCATTGTTCTCAGGCATAAACTTCTCTGGCTTATAAACCACATGGAGAACAATCTACCTCCTTTTTGTGGGCTGCTAATTGCAATTTTTGTTTTTACGTAAAGTGTCGGGACAGATGCTTTATTCAGAAAGTAAAGCCTCAGATAAACAGATGTGTAGGCGCAAGCTCATTGCTTGCTGCCCAGGGCTCTCTATAGCTGCATTTGACTCCCAGCTGTAGACTAAGTCAGTCAGGGAATGGTTAAGGCCCTGTGCGTATCAAACACTGAAATCATGGGAGCAGGTTAAAGAGGGGGAAGCTGAGCTTGGAAATGCAAAGTAGGATTTGGGAAGGATTTTTACCTTTTTCCCATTTCTACTCGTCAAAGTCTGCAGAACCTTCCGGGAAGCATGTCCTGGAGTGATTGGGAGTCAAATCACTTGGGATGCACAGGGAAGGAATGGTTTCTGTCTTAGATAATCTCTGTGAGGCTCCAAGAAAAAGGTGTGAAATCAAGGGAGGTGTCCTAGATCAACAGAAGGATGGGTTCAAAGCCCCATGGGAGACCCAGCTGCTTTGTTCCTCTTTTTCCTTCTCTTCTCTACCTGCCCATCCCCCACAAGAGGAAATGTTAACATTTCCCTCATTTCTTCCTGGCTGTAGGATAATTTTGGCCAGAGTAACAATCTTAAAACATAGCCTTCTTTGTGATGCTCTCTCGATAAAAAATAATGAAACAAATGCTTTTGCTGCTTACAATATGTTAGGCACTGTTTTAAGCTCTTTGCACATTCTAAGTCATTTATTTCTCACAACAACACTGTGATGCAGATGCCATTATCATCCCTGTTTTAGAGAGGGAGGGGAGAACTGAGGCATAGGGAGGTTAATTAACTTGTACCAGGTCATAGTGCTAAGTGGCAGAGCCAGGATTTGAACCTAGAATCTAGATCAAGATCCGTGCTTTTTTCTCCACTCTGCCTATAGGACAAAGAACAAGTGTATTAGTCTGGCATTCAGTGTCTTCCACCACCTGAGCCCTGTCTACTTTGTCCTTTGTGTATACTTCAAAATACTCTGTGTGCCTCCCACAGACCAGGAGATTTCTTAGCTCCACCTAGAGAGTTCCCTCTGACCTTCTAGGTCTGTCTGGTTCCAGGAATGCAGGTGGGGAGCACTGGTTTTGGATTCAGGGGATTTGGTTGAGTCCCCATTTTGTTCTGACCTCTGTATGTCCATGGGCCTATGGGCTTCCCTCTCTTGTCCTCAGTTTGTTTACCTGTTGCTGTGGTTTGGATATGGTTCGTTGGTCCTCACCAAAGCTCATGTTGAAATTTGACTCCCAATGTGATGGTGTTGGGAGATGGGGCCTAATGAGAGGTGTTTGGGTCAAGAGGGCTCTGCCCTTGTTGGGTGTCTTGGTGCTGTTGTCTCAATAATAAGTTCTCTCTCTGGCAAGACATGGGTTTCAGCACTTGTTCTTCCCCTTCCTAGATGTGTGACTTTGGGCAAGTTACTTAACTCTTGTCATCCAAATTTTATTCTCTAATCTGGGCTAGGGGGATTACAAGGTGATGGGGGACCCTTGAATGAATGAATGAGGCAATATGTGGTTTTATTTATTTGTTTTGCAGAGAGCTCACTTTGGAGTAGCACAAACGAAGGATTAGAGGGGAACAATCCAGGAAGCGGAGTGACCAGTTAGGATGCTGTTGTAGTCAGTGTACATGATGTGGCTTTGTAGTTAGTGACAAGAGTGCCTGTCTTGTTGGGCTAGTGGGGTAGGGGAGGGGGTGCTGATTAAGGCCTAGAGAAAGGGTGGCCTTTTCTTTTATTTTCCCTCTTCTCTTCTCTTCTCTTCTCTTCTCTTCTCTTCTCTTCTCTTCTCTTCTCTTCTCTTCTCTTCTCTCCTCTCCTCTCCTCTCCTCTCCTCTCTTCTCCTCTTTTTTCTCTCTCTGCCTCACTGTCTCTCTCTCTTGCTCCCTGTCTCCTCCCTCCCTTTGTTCTTTCCTCTCTTCCTTCTTTCTAAAAAATTTTGCACAATGTTACCCCCAATCTCTAGGCTGTGTATCGTTGGAGCTGAGTCTCCTTAGAGGGGTAACTTTTCTAACCAGTTTGCCCTTTTGCAAATTTAGTTCAAGGTACTCTAATAAGGTTGTAGGCAGTCCTGGTTGTGCTAATGTAGGAAAGAATGAAATGAGGCTGCTTAAAGGCAGTTTGGGCTTGGGAGACAGGGTGGCCGGGCGTGATGAGGCTGAGTAGATGAAAAGTAGCCCTTTTCATCAAGAGCACTAGAAATCAGTCTCCAAGAGCATGTTGAGGAGCTGCTGCCTTACTTTGCTTTAGAGAGCTCAGCTACTTTAGCATTTTGACTTGATGCTGATTTGCCAAGCTCCCCACCACCTCAGCTTCTCTGTCCTGCAGCTTGGCTTCCTTTCTGGGCTTAGCGGAAGAGCCATGCTTAGCTCTTGGATATAATGTTCGGTCTTTTACAAATGATTTACTAGGTATTTGGAGATAGGGTTGGAAGTGAATCTCTGGATAGTCAGATTACCTACACAGTGAAGCTCTGCTCTACCCAAAAGGGGTTATTTTAAGCTTCACACAGTAGCTTAGCATTGGGAAATCTGTCTAGCCAAATAATTGCATTAACAATTTAGAGAAAAAATTATATAGCTAAGCCACTAGATAACAGAAGAGAATTTGCTAATATTCAGCAATGATTTTTGATAAAAACATGAAGTGAAATAAGAATAGAAGAATACTTCATAGAGAGGATTAAGAAACATTGGAAATCAATAGCAAGCATTACATTGAAAGATAGAAGACATTCCCATTCAAGTTCTGAATAAGGTATGAATACTTGTTATCATGGCATCATTTGACAAAATTTTGAAGTTTCCAACTAAATACGACCATGAAAATAAATGATTTGACTATAAATATATCCACTTATTATTTGTCAAATAAATAATTTAAAGCTGATTTAAATATGAAAAGAGAATAAAATTATCACTGTATGCTTCTTACATCATCTTATATCTGGATAATCTAAGTGTCTAAGTGAAAAATTATTATAACTAATTAGAAAATTTGTCTGGAAAAAAGATGAATACACAAAAATAATTTTCCCTTTTCCATTCTCAAAAATGATTTAGGAAATAAAATGAAATAAAAATTGACAAAACTACAAATTACCAAGGGATAAATTATAAGAAATGTAATATCTACATGAAGGAAACTTTAAACTTTTACAGAAGGATTAAATGTTCCCAAAGTAATATATGAAAGGACGTGCCATGTTCCTGGATGGAAGATTAACATCATAAATATAAAAATCCCTCCAAAACCAACCAAAATATTTAATATAATTCTGATAAGAATCATAATGTTATCTTTTTGGAAAGGTGGGGAGCTGACAATTTTATTTTAAATTTCATATCAGATAATAAATGTGTGGAAATGGCTGAGAAAATTTTGATAAAGAAGAATAACGAAATGATAATTACTGTACCAGATATTAAAATATAGCATAGGTTGGGCAGTGGCTCATGCCTGTAATCTCAGCACTTGGGAGACCAAGGCAGGCAGATCACTTGAGGCCAGGAGTTTGAGACCAGCCTAGCCAACATAGTGAAACCCCATCTCTACTAAAAATGCAAAAATTAGCTGAGCGTGGTGGTGCATGCCTATAGTCCCAGCTACTGGGGAGGCTGAGGCATGAGAATCACTTGAACTCAGGAGACAGAGGTTACAGTGAGCTGAGATCATGCCACTGCACTCCAGCCTGGGTGACAGAATGAGACTCTGTCTCATAAGTAAACAAATAAATAAAATAAAAATAAAACGTAGCATAAAACCACTATGATGAAAACAGACAAATAATCGGTGGACTTCAAGAGGGAGTCCCAAAATAGATCCAAGGATAAATAGAAAGTTAATGTGTGATAAAAGTACTAATTAAAATCAGTGGAGTTACTGTTATTCATTAAATAGTGATGAAAGGATTGATACACATTTAGAAAAAAAAATAGATCCCTACCTCAAACCTCATAAATAAAATAAATTTCAGATGCATTAATCATCAAAGAGTAGCCAAAGCTGGAAATAATCTAAATGACTGTCAGCTGGTGAGTGAATAGACAAAATGTGGCTTATCCATACAGTGAAACACTGCTCAGCAACAAAAAGAACAGAACCACGGATGCGTGCAGCCCCACGGATTAACCTCAAAACATACGCTAAATGAAAGAAGCTAAACACAAAAAATGACATATTGTATGATTCCATTTATACAAAGTTTCTAGAAAACACCAAACATATGGAGATGGGTGGTTTCTTGGGGGCTGGAAAGACAGCAGAAAGTGACTGCAAACAGGCATGATGGAAATTTTGGGGGTGATGCAAGTGTTCTAAAACTGGTTTATAGTGATGATTGTATAACTGTATAAATTTACTGAAATGTATCAAACCATAAAACTGAAATGGGTGAATTTTTTTTGTATGTAAATTGTACCTTAATCAACTATTAAAAATGTTGAATAAAAAGGAAAAGTATACAATAAAATATTAGGGTGGCATATTGAAACATTTTCTTAAGCAAGTTGTGAAAAACAGGTCGTTAAGAAAAATATATATTTGACAACATAAGAATTTTAAAAATTGATGGTAAAAGATTTTAAAATGTAACAATGCAAGTGATAGTAATGCAAGTAAATAAAATGAATGCTTTTTGCTGCTTACAATGTATTAGGCACTGTTCTAAGCTCTTTGCACATTCTAAGTCATTTATTTCTCACAACAACACTGGGATGCAGATGCCATTATCATCCCCGTTTTAGGGAGGGAGGGGAGAACTGAGGCATAGGAAGGTTAATTAACTTGTACCAGGTCATAGCGCTAAGTGGCAGAGCCAGGATTTGAACCTAGAATCTAGATCAAGATCCATGCTTTTTTCTCCACTCTGCCTATAGGACAAACAACAAGTGTGTTAATCTGGTATTCAGTGTCTTCCACCACCTGAGCCCTGTCTACTTTGTCCCCTGTGTATACTTCAAAGTACTCTGTGTGTCTCTCACAAAAGTATTTGCATCATTTATAAAAGACAAAGAGTGAATCTTTTCATTATGCAGAACCTCATAAAAATGACAGGAGGCAAAGAATCTAATCTCAAATTAGTCAGGGTATCCACAGATGACAATACAAGTGAACAGTAAAATGCAAACATTTTCTTAGATAGCTGCAGAAATGAAGATTTAAACAATGAATTACCTTTTTTTTGGGCACAGTTTCTAACATCTGATAATACATGCTATGAAGGTGTGAGGAAATGAGCAGTCTGTTTAGAGGAGTATAAATCAATTCAGTTTTTTTTGGAGATTGACTGGATAATAATAGCTATTAAAAAGAAAAATGTGTATGTCTTTAGTAAAATAATCCCTCTTCTAGTAATCTTTCTTCCAGAAAATACCACAGATACAGTAAGGCAATTGCATAAAGATGTTTGTTGATGGGTTGTTTGACAATAACAAGAAGTAGGAGCCAGATGAATTTCTATAAAGAGGAATATGTTTGAATATATTTTGCTACATCAAAATAATAGCAAAAAATGTAATATTATGCAAAAGAAGTAGGAACACTTATTTTCATTGGCTTGGAAAGCTGTATATTATTGTATTAGCTTTTTATTCTTGTGTAACAAATTACCACAAGTTTAGAAACATAAGATAACACCTAATCATTAGCCTATGTCTCTGTAGCTCAGACATCTGGCATGGAAGTGGACTGGATTCTCTGCTCAGGGCATCACCAAGCTAAAGTCAAAGCATCAGTTGGACTGAGTTCTTATCTGGAAGCTCTGAGGGAAAAATCAGGTTCCAATCTCATTCTTCTTGTTGGCAGAATTCAGCTCCTTGTGGTTGGAGGCCGAAGTTCCTGTTTCATTGCTGGTTGTCAACTAGGGACTGCTTTTTTTGTTTTGTTTTGTTTTTATTATACTTTAAGTTCTACGGTATATATGCACAATGTGCAGGTTTGTTACATATGTATACATGTGCCATGTTTGTGTGCTGCACCCATTAACTCGTCATTTACATTAGGTATATCTCCTAATGCTATCCCTCCCCCAACCCCACGACAGGCTCCTGTGTGTGATGTTCCCCACCCTGTGTCCAAGTGTTCTCATTGTTCAATTCCCACCTATGAGTGAGAACATGCGGTGTTTGGTTTTCTGTCCTTGCAATAATTTGCTCAGAATGATGGTTTCCAGCTTCATCCGTGTCCCTACAAAGTACATGAACTCATCCTTTTTTATGGCTGCATAGTATTCCATGGTGTATATGTGCCACATTTTCTTAATCCATTCTATCATTGATGGACATTTTGGGTTGTTTCCAAGTCTTTGCTATTGTGAATAGTGCTCAATAAACATACGTGTGCATGTGTCTTTATAGCAGCATGATTTTTAACCCTTTGGGTGTGTACCCAGTAGTGGGATGGCTGGGTCAAATGGTATTTCTAGTTCTAGATCCCTGAGGAATCGCCACACTGATTTCCACAATGGTTGAACTAGTTTACAGTCCCACCAACAGTGTAAAAGTGTTCCTATTTCTCCACATCCTCTCCAGTACCTGTTGTTTCTTGACTTTTTAATGATCGCCATTCTAACTGGTGTGAGATGGTATCTCATTGTGGTTTTGATTTGCATTTCTCTGATGGCCAGTGATGATGAGCATTTTTTCATGTGTCTGTTGGCTGTGTAAATGTCTTCTTTTGAGAAGTGTCTGTTCATATCCTTCGCCCACTTTTTGATGGGGTTGTTTGATTTATTCTTGTAAATTTGTTTAAGTTCTTTGTAGATTCTGGACATTAGCCCTTGTCGGATGGGTAGATTGTGAAAATTTTCTCCCATTCTGAAGGTTGCCTGTTCACTCTGATGGTAGTTTCTTTTGCTGTGCAGAAGCTCTTTAGTTTAATTAGATCCCATTAGTCAATTTTGGCTTTTGTTGCCATTGCTTTTGGTGTTTTAGTCATGAAGTCCTTGCCCATACCTATGTCCTGAATGGTATTGCCTAGGTTTTCTTCTAGGGTTTTTATGGTTTTAGGTCTAACATTTAAGTCTTTAATCCATCTTGAATTAATTTTTGTATGAGGTGTAAGGAAGGGATCCAGTTTCAGCTTTCTACACATGGCTAGCCAGTTTTCCCAGCACCATTTATTAAATAGGGAATCCTTACCCCATTTCTTGTTTTTATCAGGTTTGTCAAAGATCAGATGGTTGTAGATGTGTGGTATTATTTCTGAGGGCTCTGTTCTGTTTCATTGGTCTATATCTCTGTTTTGGTACTAGTAGAATCAATATCGTGAAAATGGCCATACTGCCCAAGGTAATTTATAGATTCAATGCCATCCCCATCAAGCTACCAATGACTTTCTTTGCAGAACTGGAAAAAACTACTTTAAAGTTTATGTGGAACCAAAAAAGAGCCCGCATTGCCAAGACAACGCTAAGCAAAAAGAACAAAGCAGGAGGCATCATGCTACCTGACTTCAAACTATACTACAAGGCTACGGGACTGCTTTCAGCTCCTTGAGGCCAGTGGTATTCCTTGTCACATGTCTACCTCTACCTTTAAGCCAGAATACTGTGTCAAATCCTTCTTATGCTTTGAATCTGTGAATTCCTCTGTCTCTGACCTCTACACCCAAATTTAAAGAGTTTATGTAATTGTCTCCCTATTTTTAGTGGAACTTATTTGGGACCTTAACTATATCTGCAGAATTTCTTTACATTAACATCTGGATTCATGTTTGATTGAATAAGTGGGAGAAAGTATAGGTACACTAGGGTCTAGGGATATTGAAGACTATATAAGAATTCTGCCTACCATAATGATATACCACAAATGAAAAAGCTATTCATAGATCAAAAGATTGAGCATTAATCCATTAAAACATTTTATATTTCTATATAGATGAGTATGTTTACACACATATAGATATGCTGACATTAATATGTATGGGGCTGGACAGTGGAGAGCCATGCAAGACCATTCAGGGGCACGCTGTTAAAAGTGGTTATTTCCGTGATTGGGATTGGATAGGACAGAGGGGACTTGTACTTTTCCTTATGTTTTCACTTTTCTAAACATTACAAAATTATGGGTGTTTATCTGTTTGTGTTTTTTAGTACAGCAGCCCTTCATATCTTTGGCGTCTGCATCTGTGGATTCAAGCAACTGTGGATCAAAAAATTTTTTTTAGGCTGGACATGGTGGCTCTTGCCTGTAATCCCAACACTTTGGGAGAGAGAGGTGGGTGGATCACCTGAGGTCAGGAGTTTGAGACCAGCCTGGCCAATATGTTGAAACCCCATCTCTACTAAAAATACAAAAATTAGCCAGGTGTGGTGGCGAGCCCCTGTAATCCCAGCTACCTGGAAGGCTAGAGAATCACTTGAACCCAGGTGGTAGAGGTTGCAGTGAGCCGAGATCGCATCATTGCACTCTAGCCTGGGCGACAAGAGCGAGACTCTGTCTCAAAAAAAAATTATTTTTTTAAAGGATGGTTGTATCAGTATTGAACGTGTACAGGCTTTTTTCTTGTCATTACTCCCTAAACAATACAGTATAACAACAATTTACATAGCACTTATATTGTATTAGTTATTATAAGTAATGCAGATGATTTAAAGTATATGGCAGGCTGTGCATAGGTTATATACAAATATCACACCATTTAATATAAAGAACTTGAGCATCTGTGGATTTTGGTATCCACGGAGGGTGTCCTAGAACTAATCCTCTATGAATTCTGAGGAATGACTATATTTGAGCCCTTAAGGTCTCTGACATCACTGTAGGAGACAGACCTGAGGGAGGAAGGTGATCTATCTTCATAGACTTACATTGTCTTCCATTTTCTTCTGCTTATAGCCCAAGTCACAGCACTACTTCTTCCAAATTTCAACAGTCATACATATTTTAAAGAATTCGAGGAGAAAAATAGTCAATTATGTTTATCCAGATATTACCATTTCCAAGTTTTTTCTAGTGTTATTTCCTTTCTACTTGAATAACTTCATTTGTTGTCTCTTTTAGATCAGAACTGCTGAAAACAAATTCTCTTTGTTTTTCTTTATCTGTAAATATCTTTATTTTGCCTTCAGTCTTGAAGGATGTTTTCACTGAATATAGAATTCTGGGTAGACAATCCTTTTCTTTCAGCACTTAAAAAGGTTCCATTGTTTTCTGGCTTCCATGATTTCTTGTGAGAAATCTGCAGTCATTTGAATTGTTGTTCCCTTAATATCAGCAGTTTTTAACTTCAGCATTATTGACATTTTGGGTTAGATATTCTTTGTTGTGAGGCTCGTGTCCTGTAGGATGTATAGTAGTATCCTTAGCATATTAGGTACCAATAGCAGTCCACTCCCAATGTGAGAAAAATTAAAAAGTTGGAAGCATCTGATCTTGTCAGATGTCTCTGGGGAGGCAAAACCAACCTGGTTGAGAAACACTGCCATGCAATATGTAATTACACTGCATATAATGGTTAATTTAAAAATATTTTAAATATAATTATATATATCTTAGTTTTTCCACAGTTTGATTATAATGTGTCTGGTCATAGTTTTCTTTGAGTTTATCCTATTTGAGTTTCACTAAACTTCTTGAATATGTAAATTTATGTCCTATAATAAATTTGAAGAGTATTTACTCATTTGTTAAAATTGTTAAAAAATTTTTTCAGCACCTATCTTTTTCTCCTCCTCTTTAGAGACCCTGATAGCATGAATTTTAGAACTTTTGATATAGTTCCATAGGTCCCGAATCTGTATGACTTTTTTTCTCAATTTTTATATCCTCTATTATTCAGATTAGATACTTTTAATTGACCTATTTTCAAGTTCATCAGCTCTTTCCTGAGTCATGTTTATTCCTCTGTTGAATCCATACAGGGAGTTTATAATTTCAGTTATTGTAATTTTTAGTTTTTTTGTATAGTTTTTCTTTTGTTTTCTTTTCTTTTTTTTTTTTTGAGATGGAGTCTTGCTCTGTTGCCCAGGCTGGAGTGCAGTGGTGCGATCTCAGCTCACTGCAAGCTCCGCCTTCTGGGTTCACGCCATTCTCCTGCCTCAGCCTCCCAAGTAGCTGGGACTACAGGTGCCTGCCACCATGCCCGGCTATTTTTTTGTATTTTTAGTAGAGACGGGGTTTCACCGTGTTATCCAGGATGGTCTTGATCTCCTGACCTCGTGATCCGCCTGCCTTGGCCTCCCAAAGTGCTGGGATTACAGGCGTGAGCCACCGCGCCCGGCCGTATAGTTTTTATTTCTGTGCTGAGAATTTCTTTCAATTAATTTAAGGAGTGTTTACCATTATTTTATGGAATATGGTTACAGTAGTTTTTTTAAGGTCTTTGTCTGATAATCTCAACATCTGGTCATTTTGGCATTGGTATCTGCTGTCTTTTCCCTTGAGAGCTAATTATATTTTCCCAGTTTTTTGGTTTGGGTAATTTTAAATTGTGTATTAGTTTCTCATTACTGATGTAACAAATTACCACAAACTCTTGGTTTAAGGCAAATTTATTCTTATAATTTTGATCAGAATTATAAAATTAAGATGTTGGCAGGCCTGCATGTCTTCTGGAGACTTTAAGAGAGAATACATTTCTTGTCTTTTCCATATTTAGAGGTGCCTGCATTCCTTTTGTGTGGCCCCTTTCTCCATCTGCAAAACACATCACTTCAACCTTTGGTTTTGTCTTCACACCTCTTTTTTGTCTGATTCTGATCCTCCTGCTGCTCTTATAGAAGGGCCCTGTGATTACACTTGGCTCACTTATACAATCCAGGAAATCTGCCCATCTCAACACTCTTAACTTCATTACATTTGCAAAATCCCTTTTACCATGCAAGGTAACATATTCATGGGTTCTGGGGATTAAGAATTAGATATCTTTGCAGGGGTTATTCTTTATCCTACCACAAATTACATTCTATAGATTTTGATTATTATGTTACAAGAATCTAAGTTCTGTTAAAATCCTATGAAGAATGTTCATTTCTTTTTTGAAAGTGGGTAATCAACTCAGTAAGTAAGGTTCAGATGACAAGGGCTGACCTACCTCCTGTAGGCTCTGGATCCAATGTAAATTTAATTTTCACGGCCTTTGTGGTGCTGTTTGGTTTCATCCCCAGATGTGCCACTCGGGGTCAGTCTATAATCTGGGGGATGGTGTCTAGTATAGTTCAGTTCCCAGAGGTTTTGCTATACTGCTTTGAGTTGATTCTGTGTATACACAGCTTGGGCATGAACTAGGATTTCATACCTAGATTTAGAAGGTAGTTTTTGCCACGCCTTTCAATTTGTGATTGCCCTCACAGTCTCTGGCTCCCAGAGTCCCTTTATCTTGGTTTTCTGGTAGAAATCTGAAGTTTAGCCTCCCTGCACAGTTCCACACTTTTTGTGAATGGGTCTACCTTTGGGCAAAATGGTGAGATACGAGAGAGAGAGAGAGAGAGAGAGAGAGAGAAAAGAAATTTCTCACACACTCTTCAGACCAAAGAGGCCAATTTCTCTGGCCAATGAGTAGGATTTTCTCTGAGTTGTGGGTGCCCTTGTGGCTGGTATTCCTGCAGCTGCTGGGGGAGTGCTGGTTCATGCCTGGGACTTGCCTTGAGACAAGGCCAGCAGAGGAAAAAGGGAGAAAAAGGGGATACCTCCCACATCCTATGTTCCACAGAGGTCCCCCTTTCCAGTCTTCTGGCTAGAAAAAGAAAGTTTCTCTTGGAGATTTTTCCATCTGTGCCTGCTGTGTAGTTCTGGGATGTGAGCCACCCTAGAGTCTAAGCTGGGAGAATTGAAAAAAAAATTAAACCAGGAAACTCACTGCTGTATTGGTTGTTCTTTGAGTTGTAATTTTCCACCCCAGCATGCCTGCTATTACTTATTTTTTAGAATCCTCTCATACAGTTGCTTTATCTAAATTGTCCAGAGATTTTAGTTCTAATCAGTGGGAGAGAAAGAATAGAGTGTACTCATTCTATCTTTTCCAGAACCAGAAGTCCCAGGTACATTATTGATAATATAAATGATGGCAAGGATGCAGCTTTTGATATTACAGTGAAACACATCATCAGACTTGTCCATGGTGATTCTTCTTATCTGCAGAGAGAACCTATAGTGAATTCCCCTAGTTAGTCCAGGGGCAGATGATTTAAATTTTTTTAATGACCCCTGTAGATATTTATTACTCATTTGATGTCTGAGGTTACATTTGATGATGAGGAGGTTACTTTGTTTTTCTGCATATGAAGTAGTAATAATCACTGTCATCTCATTCTGTTTCTCCTCCTCCTCCTCCTCATGATCGGTTACTGCGTGGTTACTACGCTCCAGGGACCATGCCGAGGGTTTTAGATACATTATATCTCTGAAGTAGCCTCATCAGTGTATACTTTGCAAAAGTTCCAGGCTTAGGCTTGTGCAATAATGTCTTCTTTAAGAACCTGGGCTAGGTCTATTTCACTCTCCTGCATGTGGCCAGCATGTTTCAGTACTTGGTCTGCAGTAGATGCTCAGTAAACATCTGTCCAGTGAACGAATGAATGAAAGACAGCCCCCCCATCCCCCACCCCCACCCTGTTTTGTAGGCTATTTAAGGAGAACTTAGTAATATGTACCTGCTTCTCCTTCCTAACTGCAGCTGAGCTAGGAGACCCTTTCACAGGAAAACACCAGTTTTGCTATTCATCTACTCGCTCGACAAGTATGTGCACCAGGCAGCATTCTGGCTGCTAGGGATGCTGTGGGGAAAAGCAGGCGAGACCCTAGCCCATGGAGCTTACATTCTAATGTGTGAGTCAGACAAGAAACAAGTAACTGATCAATGAACGAAATAATTTCAGGTGGTGATAAGTGACACGGAGAAATGAAATAGGGTAATGGGTAGCGGCGGAAGGGTGTGGGGCTACTTTAGCTAGGAAGGTTATGGTTATGGGGGATTCTTGAAAGAGGCCCCAGTTGAGCTGAGATATGAGAAAGAACCAGTCAGACATTCATTTAGCAGCCTGGAAATTTTTTCTTGTTTAACATCCCTGTTGTTTTCACTGGGAAAATCAGCGGCGCAAATAAGACTGCAAAAGCAATGTTTAAAATTGACTGAAGAGAATCAATTACTTTCCGATGGTTGAAGGGGCCTTAGACACCATCCAGTGATTTATTTTAGCCCAGGGATTTTATTTTTTTACTCGTTTTAAATCATCAAAGGTTTAAAACAATTTTTAAAAATTTCTGTTATTTAATTTGTCTTTGTAGGTCCGTATTTTTTTAAAGACCTTGACCACCAAAACTTTTTAATTAAGTAGATTTCTTAGGAGACTGCAGTGTCAGTGCATGGGTTGGTATAATTCCAGTCAAAAGACAGACACCCGAATTTTTTTAGATTACCTCCGCAGTCTTATTAGAGAGATATATGCGGATTTGTTGGATTTTTTTTGTTTTTTTTGAGATGGAGTCTCACTCTGTCACCCAGGCTGGAGTGCAGTGGCACAATCTCAGCTCACTGCAACCTCCACCTCCCGGGTTCAAGTGATTCTCCTGCCTCAGCCTCCCGAGTAGCTGGAACTATAGGCATGTGCCACCACACCCAGCTGATTTTTGTATTTTTAATAGAGACAGAGTTTTACCATGTTGGCCAGGCTGGTCTTGAACTCCTGACCTCAGGTGATCTGCCGCCTCAGCCTCCCAAAGTACTGGGATTACAGGCATGAGCCACTGTGCCCAGCCTGATTTGTTAGATTTTTAAAATTAAAAAGAACATTATACAAACTTGGTTTAAAAATACATTAAAAATATCTGACTGTCCCTGCCCTGAGGTCAGTGATTTTCCTCTTAGATTCACCATTGTAATTTCAGAAACTAGAATAGTGCTTGGCATCAGGCAAGTACTTAATATTGTTCAAATGAATAAATGCTTCTACGGAAATTTTTCCTCATCTAATGGAATAATAAAGCTTTAATTAAAATCAATAAGAGTTGATTTGTATTTAGGTTTTTTTTTTTAGGTGGCTGACTGTGAAGTTTGAATAACGTGTATCTTGGAATAAACAGGGTTTGTGACCTCCCAAATAAATATTATTACATCCCCTCTTCATTGTGGACTCACTCTGTGCCAGGTGCCATTGCACATTTAAGTCTTCGCAGCAGCTCTGTCCATTTTGCAGATGAGGAAACTACGGCTCAGAGAGGTGAAGTCTTGACGTCACACAGCTGGTTAGTGGCAAAACCAGAATATGGATCTCGATCAGTCTGTCTCTGAAACCTGTGCTCTTAACTATTATGCTATGGAAAAGGCAGGGAAGCATGGGGGTCATGGTGTCGGGGTCCCTGGAACTGGGCTCTGAAACATAGCTCTGCTGTGTGATCTTAGGCAAGTGGCTAGACCTCTCTGTACCTCAGCTTTATCATCTCTAAAATGAAGCTATGAATACTACTTACCTAATGGAGTTAAGATTATTAAATCAGTTAATTTGTGTAAAATGTACAGTAAGTACTTCATAAGACTAGTTAACTATTTCTGAGCACAAAGCATTTGGCTGTTTGATATTGTGAGTTGGTGGCACATGTGTCTTGACTGGCTGGGCCAGGCTGCCTCTCTGCTGCTGCGGTGGCTCTGGTGACAGCCACACTCAGTGCAATAGACTGCAGTGGACGTCACTTTATGCTCCCCTGGTCTATTGGTTTGGGTCGTGTGTCATGTTGGCAGCTAATTTTCTCAGAGCGGTTGGTTGGAATGGGTCTCAGAGACCGTGCCTACAGTCATAAAACATACAGACCCAGCGAAAATGCTCATCATCTCTCCTCGTGATTAGTGTGGATTGCTGTGGCTTTATTGATCGGCAACAATCGCTTGCTCTCACAAAAACCCCTATGCCTAGCCCACACAGACCAGTTTTGCTGTTTTGTGCTGTTTTCTTTTGGCATTTTGACAAAGTCGGTGAATTAACAATGTTCCATGGAGTGTTTGAAAGTGGTTGGCTGTTGGTGGATCTATCTCGCTCCATGACTGAAGACAACATCTCCCACCCCTCCTTTATCCACTCCCTCTTCACACCATCTGCAGAATCATCCTTCTGAAACAGCAATCCATATCACTCTGTTGGATAAAAACCTTTAGTGATAAGCAGATTTTTGGGGGTGATAGAAATGTTGATTATCATCATTGTGGTGGGGGTTAAGTGTATGTGTACATTTTGTCAAAACACATCAACTCTACACTAAAAATTGGTATATGTAAGTTACACCTCAGTAAAATAAAAACAATCAGTAGAGGAGAAAAGCCTGAACTCCCTCACTGGGCATTCAGAGCTCTTCTCGGCCTGGCCACAGCCTATCTTTCCAGCCTCTTCTCCTCCCCCTCTGCATCCCTGTCCCACAGCTTTCCCTGCCTGTGCTATCTCTGCTTATAAGCTGAAACATTTACATGTGCTTTTCTCTCTGCCAGGAAAGCCCTCCTCACCCTTCCCAGTGTGGACACTTCCCTCTCTCTTCCCTTCAAGGTCTCCTATGTGTCAGGCTCTGTGCTAGGCACGGGGCCTACTGAGATACAGAAGACACAGCTCAGCCTCTGAGGATCACGAAGCAAACCCATCCCCTCCCTGGATACAGCATTTTGGTCCCACCATGTCTTCTTCTTCTGGCATATGGGATCCTCAGAACAGAGGGCACAGAGGGAGGCACGAAAGAGGAGGACTGGGTGCAGGCAGGCTGATGTGAGGCCCCCACAGCCTCTCTGTGTCTCCTTCCAGGAAGTCTCCCGTCCTCCCCCAACACATAGAAGCAGAGAGCAGAGCAGGTCAAGTTTCCACTCTGGAGACAGCTTCTTTAGGTTCCCAGCTCTTGTCCTGATAGCTGTGTGACTTTGGGAAAGTTGCCGAACCTCTCTGCACTTTGGCTTCATATCTGGAAGATGGTGAGACCAATAATTCCACCCCAAAGGATTCAGTGAATTAATATACGTAAAGTACTAAAAACAGTATCTGGCTCATCATAAAGGTTATATAAATATTGCTATTATTGTTCTTGCCCGCCAAGTACACCGAGATGAGTAAGAGCCTGGCTTTCAGGGGCATTTTTTTTTTCTGGTGGAAAAGTCCAGACAATACACACGTGGATAAATCAATAGCAAGAGGATACCACACTGTGATAAGTGCTTTGAAAGATACAAAGAGGAGACTGCGCTAGGGAGAAATTATTTTGGAGGAAAGGAGGCACTTTTTGGTTGGTGCGATGAGGAGTGGGCCTCTGTGAGGAGGAGAAATTTAGACAAAAGGCCAAGTGCTGAGAAGGAGGGAGGCATATAGAGGCCATTGGAAGAGGATTCCAGGGAGAGAAAGCATGGCGACATGCCCTAAGGAGGTACGAGCGCGGTGTGTCTGAACAGAGAGAAGCCGATAAAGCTGGAGTAGAGGAGGGCAAGGAGAGTGCAGGAGAAGGAGTTGTGGGACTGCAGGGGCTTGGCCACCAGTGCGTGGTACGAGCTGTGTCAAGGAGCTGGGATTTGATTCTTGCTGCGTTGGAAGCCACTGGAGAGGCTTAGGCAGGGTCTGATCTTACCAGGTTGTTTAATGCTCTCAGTTCTAGTTAAAGCCAAACCAGGAGCACTGCCTTCTGGGTTGTTCTCTGCAAAGGCTCTGTCATAGATTGTATCATGATACTACTTCCCTCAGTAGAGTGGCCCACCCAGGGCCACTGTCCTGCCCTGTCCTCAGTCCTCCCAGCCTGCCTCTTTGCCTTCAACCCATGCAAACTTACCCATCCTGTGTCCACACCTCATGACTTTCCTAAGTGGTTGCCCAGTTCCAACCTGGGAGAAATGTTCCCAGTCTGTTCCAAATGACTGGAAGTTCTTCAACAGAAAGCCCCACAGAAGAAATGCAGGAAAGAATAGGTGAATATTTCAACATCAGAATCAAAGTCATCTTGTAAATCAGCTGGAGAAAATGTTGGGCAAAAGGACCATTCCTTTTGGTGCTCTCAGATCTTGTCATCCTCTAACGTGCAAGTCTCTTCCTCTGATTATCTTTTCAGTACTTTGATGCCTTTTTCTTCTCTATCTGAGGGTTTCCATTTCATCCTTGGGATTTTGGGTTTCAGTGCATGTTGAGGACCACTGCAACAGTACTCAAATCAAGCCAGCCAGTGTCTATGTGAGAAAATATACTCATTCATCATTTTCTGCATTTATTTTGCAACTGATTGCATGGGCCTTCTGACCACTTGTCTGAAAAGTCTAATACCAAACAGGTTTCTGAAGAGCCAGCGGAACATTGCAGAGATACAGCCTTTAGCAACTCCAATTCTGAAATGAGCAAATGACTGATGACGTGCAATAGAACATGAAAAATAGAAGGTTCTCTGGTTAAGAAAGTTTGACTTGACAAAAAGAGAAACCTGGCTTTGATTCTCAGCTTCACTCTCTTTGTGGATTTAGACAAAATTACTTAAGTTCTTTGTGCTTCATTGGGGTTGGTAATTAGACTTTGCCATTACCATTGTGATAGTCCTGCGTGTGATAGTTATGTAAACTGTTTGAGAGTGCTTAGTAGGTATTCTATTCATTTTAGTTCCATTCCTGGTTGGAAATTGAATGTTGAATGCTGTGTTATCCTTTGTTTAGGGAGAAAAAAAAAAGGCTTAATTTAAAACAAGCATTACTTCTCTAACTTCCTGCACTGTCCCACCCTACCTTCCATTATCTTTGTGATTAAATAATATTCGTCATTAGGTGGGATCCAGCATGCAGGAAGCTCCTGGCTAGCTCAGGCAGTTTACACTCTGGAGAAGCGCCCATGGAGGGAATTTTAATTCAAGAACAAATGGAATCTAGTGTAGTGATAGTCAAAGAAAAGCTTTTCTACAATAGCCCTCCAAATTTGTGACATTTCTATGTAGCTCATTAAAAGACGGTTCAGGCCACTCCTGGATGGGCCAGTTTCTCAGCATTGAGCCTTCTGAGCCTGGTGGCATCCCCAGTGGGATTCAGCTGGAGGGACAGACACTGAGCAGAGAGAAGGTAAGCTCAGACCCCGTCGTCTTGGTCTGGGGTCCGGGAGACTTCTATTCTGAGGGTCATAGAAGAGATGCCAAGGGGAGATGGATCACCATGAAGTTCTCCAAGAGCATGGATGGGTGGAAGCCTTTCTATCAGCCCTGCAGCTATGTCGCTATATGGGAGCACATCTCAGACACACAAATATATAGTGTCCTGTTCTGGTATAAATGAAGTAGTCTGGAAAAGAGTAACTTTCCAACAAAGTGTTTGTCAGAGCAAATGTAATCTGCCTGCCTTTGTCACCTTTTCCCCACTAATAAAAAAATGAAAATTTTATCTCATTGATGTGTCACAAGCTGATCTATTGGGTGTTTTAAGGGAAAGTAAAGAGAAGACTTTCTTTTTTCTTTTTTTTTTTTGAGATGGAGTCTCGCTGTGTAGCCCAGGCTGGAGTGCAAGGGCACGATCTCGGCTTACTGCAACCTCCGCCTCCTGGGTTCCAGTGATTCTCCTGCCTCAGCCTCCCGAGTAGCTGGGACTACAGGCATGTGCCATCATGCCCAGATAATTTTTTGTATTTTTAATAGAGACGGGGTTTCACTGTGTCAGTCAGGATGGTCTCGATCTCCTGACCTCGTGATCCGCCAGCCTCAGCCTCCCAAAGTGCTGGGATTACAGGTGTAAGCCAGGGCACCCAGCCCGAGAAGACTTTCTTATTTCCCAGTGAAATAATTTGGTTCCATAAAATCTTATACCTAGAAACGTGTTAAGTATTTTAAAAGAAGACAGTGCAAAATTTCTCCATGTCCTTTAGACTCATGCTCTTAAAAATGCCTATCATGTAAATACATATATATATATATATACATATATGTGACTATCTATTATAGATCTAATCTAATCTTGATATATACTGCACAGAGACATACAATTCAGTTTGAACTAAAATCTTTCGGGTTTGAAGAGACCAGATGCCGTGAATTTTCTTTTTTTTTGTTCCCATATATGATTTTATTATTTATTATTAGTATTTTCTTTTTTTATTATTATTATACTTTAAGTTTTAGGGTACATGTGCACAATATGCAGGTTAGTTACATATGTATACATGTGCCATGCTGGTGTGCTGCACCCATTAACTTGTCATTTAGCATTAGGTATATCTCCTAATGCTATCCCTCCCCCTTCCCCCCACCCCACAACAGTCCCCAGAGTGTGATGTTCCCCTTCCTGTGTCCATGTGTTCTCATTGTTCAATTCCCATCTATGAGTGAGAACATGCGGTGTTTGGTTTTTTGTCCTTGTGATAGTTTACTGAGAATGATGATTTCTGATTTCATCCATGTCCCTACAAAGGACATGAACTCATCATTTTTTTATGGCTGCATAGTATTCCATGGTGTATATGTGCCACATTTTCTTAATACAGTCTATCATTGTTGGACATTTGGGTTGGTTCCAAGTCTTTGCTATTGTGAATAGTGCCGCAATAAACATACATGTGCATGTGTCTTTATAGCAGCATGATTTATAGTCCTTTGGGTATATACCCCGTAATTGGATGGCTGGGTCAAATGGTATTTCTAGTTCTAGATCCCTGAGGAATCGCCACACTGACTTCCACAAGGGTTGAACTAGTTTACAGTCCCACCAACAGTGTAAAAGTGTTCCTATTTCTCCACATCCTCTCCAGTCCCTGTTGTTTCCTGACTTTTTAATGATCGCCATTGTAACTGGTGTGAGATGGTATCTCATTGTGGTTTTGATTTGCATTTCTCTGATGGCCAGTGATGATGAGCATTTTTTCATGTGTCTTTTGGCTGCATAAATGTCTTCTTTTGAGAAGTGTCTGTTCATATCCTTTGCCCACTTTTTGATGGGGTTGTTTGTTTTTTTCTTGTAAATTTGTTTGAGTTCATTGTAGATTCTGGATATTAGCCCTTTGTCGGATGAGTAGGTTGCGAAAATTTTCTCCCATTTTGTAGGTTGCCTTTTCACTCTGATGGTAGTTTCTTTTGCTGTGCAGAAGCTCTTTAGTTTAATTAGATCCCATTTGTCGATTTTGGCTTTTGTTGCCATTGCTTTTGGCATTTTAGACATGAAGTCCTTGCCCATGCCTACGTCCTGAATGGTAATGCCTAGGTTTTCTTCTAGGGTTTTTATGGTTTTAGGTCTAACATTTAAGTCTTTAATCCATCTTGAATTAATTTTTGTATAAGGTGTAAGGAAGGGATCCAGTTTCAGCTTTCAACATATGGCTAGCCAGTTTTCCCAGCACCATTTATTAAATAGGGAATCCTTTCCCCATTGCTTGTTTTACTCAGGTTTGTCAAAGATCAGATAGTTGTAAATATGCGGCATTATTTCTGAGGGCTCTGTTCTGTTCCATTGATCTATATCTCTGTTTTGGTACCAGTACCATGCTGTTTTGGTTACTGTAGCCTTGTAGTATAGTTTGAAGTCAGGGAGCGTGATGCCTCCAGCTTTGTTCTTTTGGCTTAGGATTGACTTGGCGATGTGGGCTCTTTTTTGGTTCCATATGAACTTTAAAGTAGTTTCTTCCAATTCTGTGAAGAAAGTCATTGGTAGCTTGATGGGGATGGCATTGAATCTATAAATTACCTTGGGCAGTATGGCCATTTTCACGATATTGGTTCTTCCTACCCATGAGCATGGAATGTTCTTCCATTTCTTTGTATCCTCTTTTATTTCATTGAGCAGTGGTTTGTAGTTCTCCTTGAAGAGGTCCTTCACGTCCCTTGTAAGTTGGATTCCTAAGTATTTTATTCTCTTTGAAGCAATTGTGAATGGGAGTTCACTCATGATTTGGCTCTCTGTTTGTCTGTTATTGGTGTATAAGAATGCTTGTGATTTTTGTACATTGATTTTGTATCCTGAGACTTTGCTGAAGTTGCTTATCAGCTTAAAGAGATTTTGGGCTGAGACAATGGGGTTTTCTAGATATACAATCATGTCATCTGCAAACAGGGACAATTTGACTTCCTCTTTTCCTAGTTGAATACCCTTTATTTCCTTCTCCTGCCTAATTGCCCTGGCCAGAACTTCCAACACTATGTTGAATAGGAGTGGTGAGAGAGGGCATCCCTGTCTTGTGCCAGTTTTCAAAGGGAATGCTTCCAGTTTTTGCCCATTCAGTATGATATTGGTTGTGGGTTTGTCATAGATAGCTCTTATTATTTTGAGATACATCCCATCAATACCTAATTTATTGAGAGTTTTTAGCATGAAGGTTGTTGAATTTTGTCAAAGGCCTTTTCTGCATCTATTGAGATAATCATGTGGTTTTTGTCTTTGGTTCTGTTTATATGCTGGATTACATTTATTGATTTGTGTATGTTGAACCAGCCTTGCATCCCAGGGATGAAGCCCACTTGATCATGGTGGATAAGCTTTTTGATGTGCTGCTGGATTCGGTTTGCCAGTATTTTATTGAGGATTTTTGCATCAATGTTCATCAAGGATATTGGTCTAAAATTCTCTTTTTTGGTTGTGTCTCTGCCAGCCTTTCGTATCAGGAGGATGCTGGCCTCATAAAATGAGTTAGGGAGGATTCCCTCTTTTTCTGTTGATTGGAATAGTTTCAGAAGGAATGGTACCAGTTCCTCCTTGCACCTCTGGTAGAATTCGGCTGTGAATCCATCTGGTCCTGGACTCTTTTTGGTTGGTAAGCTATTGATTATTGCCACAATTTCAGATCCTGTTATTGGTTGATTCAGAGATTCAACTTCTTCCTGATTTAGTCTTGGGAGAGTGTGTGTGTCGAGAAATTTATCCATTTCTTCTAAATTTTCTAGTTTATTTGCGTAGAGGTGTTTGTAGTATTCTCTGGTGGTAGTTCGTATTTCTGTGGGATCGGTGGTGATATCCCCTTTATCATTTTTTATTGTGTCTATTTGATTCTTCTCTCTTTTTTTCTTTATTAGTCTTGCTAGCAGTCTATCAATTTTGTTGATCCTTTCAACAAACCAGCTCCTGGATTCATTAATTTTTTGAAGGGTTTTTTGTGTCTCTATTTCCTTCAGTTCTGCTCTGATTTTAGTTATTTCTTGCCTTCTGCTAGCTTTTGAATGTGTTTGCTCTTGCTTTTCTGGTTCTTTTAATTGTGATGTTAGGGTGTCAATTTTGGATCTTTCCTGCTTTCTCTTGTGGGCATTTAGTGTTATAAATTTCCCTCTACACACTGCTTTGAATGTGTCCCAGAGATTCTGGTATGTTGTGTCTTTGTTCTCGTTGGTTTCAAAGAACATCTTTATTTCTGCCTTCATTTTGTTATGTACCCAGTAGTCATTCAGGAGCAGATTGTTCAGTTTCCATGTAGTTGAGTGGTTTTGAGTGAGTTTCTTAATCCTGAGTTCTAGTTTGATTGCACTGTGGTCTGAGAGACAGTTTGTTATAATTTCTGTTCTTTTACATTTGCTGAGGAGAGCTTTACTTCTACCTATGTGGTCAATTTTGGAATAGGTGTGGTGTGGTGCTGAAAAAAATATATATTTTGTTGATTTGGGGTGGAGAGTTCTGTAGATGTCTATTAGGTCCTCTTGGTGCAGAGCTGAGTTCAATTCCTGGGTATCCTTGTTGACTTTCTGTCTCGTTGATCTGTCTAATGTTGACAGTGGGCTGTTAAAGTTTCCCATTATTATTGTGTGGGAGTCTAAGTCTCTTTGTAGTTCACTAAGGACTTGCTCTATGAATCTGGGTGCTCCTGTATTGGGTGCATATATATTTAGGATAGTTAGCTCTTCTTGTTGAATTGATCCCTTTACCATTATATAATGGCCTTCTTTGTCTCTTTTGATCTTTGTTGGTTTAAAGTCTGTTTTATCAGAGACTAAGATTGCAACCCCTGCCTTTTTTGTTTTCCATTTGCTTGGTAGATCTTCCTCCATCCTTTTATTTTGAGCCTATGTGTGTCTCTGCCCGTGAGCTGGGTTTCCTGAATACAGCACACTGATGGGTCTTGACTCTTTATCCAATTTGCCAGTCTGTGTCTTTTAATTGGAGCATTTAGTCCATTTACATTTAAAGTTAATATTGTTATGTGTGAATTTGATCCTGTCGTTATGATGTTAGCTGGTTATTTTGCTCATTAGTTGATGCAGTTTCTTCCTAGTCTCGATGGTCTTTACATTTTGGCATGATTTTGCAGCGGCTGGTACCGGTTGTTCCTTTCCATGTTTAGTGCTTCCTTCAGGAGCTCTTTTAGGGCAGGCCTGGTGGTGACAAAATCTCTCAGCATTTGCTTGTTTGTAAAGTATTTTTGTTTCTCATTCACTTATGAAGCTTAGTTTGGCTGGATATGAAATTTTGGGTTGAAAATTCTTTTCTTTAAGAATGTTGAATATTGGCCCCCGCTCTCTTCTGGCTTGTAGAGTTTCTGCCGAGAGATCAGCTGTTAGTCTGATGGGCTTCCCTTTGTGGGTAACCTGACCTTTCTCTCTGGCTGCCCTTAACATTTTTTCCTTCATTTCAACTTTGGTGAATCTGACAATTATGTGTCTTGGAGTTGCTCTTCTCGAGGAGTATCTTTGTGGCGTTCTCTGTATTTCCTGAATCTGAATGTTGGCCTGCCTTGCTAGATTGGAGAAGTTCTCCTGGATAATATCCTGCAGAGTGTTTTCCAACTTGGTTCCATTCTCCCCGTCACTTTCAGGTAACCAATCAGATGTAGATTTGGTCTTTTCACATAGTCCCATATTTCTTGGAGGCTTTGTTCATTTCTTTTTATTCTTTTTTCTCTAAACTTCCCTTCTCGCTTCATTTCATTCATTTCATCTTCCGTCACTGAAACCCTTTCTTCCAGTTGATCGCATCAGCTCCTGAGGCTTCTGCATTCTTCACGTAGTTCTTGAGCCTTGGCTTTCAGCTCCATCAGCTCCTTTAAGCACTTCTCTGTATTGGTGATTCTAGTTATACATTCATCTAAATTTTTTTCAAAGTTTTCAACTTCTTTGCCTTTGGTTTGAATTTCCTCCTGTAGCTCGGAGTAGTTTGATCGTCTGAAGCCTTCTTCTCTCAACTCGTCAAAGTCTTTCTCTGTCCAGCTTTGTTCCGTTGCTGGTGAGGAACTGCGTTCCTTTGGAGGAGGAGAGGCGCTCTGCTTTTTAGAGTTTCCATTTTTTCTGCTCTGTTTTTTCCCCATCTTTGTGGTTTTATCTACTTTTGGTCTTTGATGATGGTGATGTACAGATGGGTTTTTGGTGTGGATGTCCTTTCTGTTTGTTAGTTTTCCTTCTAACAGACAGGACCCTCAGCTGCAGGTCTGTTGGAGTTTGCCAGAGGTCCACTCCAGACCCTGTTTGCCTGGGTTTCAGCAGCAGTGTCTGCATAACAGCGGATTTTTGTGAACTGCAAATGCTGCTGTCTGATTGTTCCTCTGGAAGTTTTGTCTCAGAGGAGTACCCGGCCATATGAGGTGTCAGTCTGCCCCTACTGGGGGGTGCCTCCCAGTTAGGCTGCTCGGGGGTCAGGGGTCAGGGACCCACTTGAGGAGGCAGTCTGCCCATTCTCAGATCTCCAGCTGCGTGCTGGGAGAAACACTGCTCTCTTCAAAGCTGTCAGACAGGGTCATTTAAGTCTGCAGAGGTTACTGCTGTCTTTTTGTTTCGCCGTGAATTTTCTTACATTAATTTGCAAACACCCCCAATACAGATTCAACCATGACTCCTACATGAAAGAAGTGACATGTGATGACCTCCTTACTCAGAGTCATGTAAGAACACTATTTCTTACTATCCTAAAATTTTTTGACAAACGTTTTTGTTTTCAGCTTATTATCTGTAAATAATGACTCACTCAATTAACCAATTAGATAAACAGTGGCCAAATGGAATAATCAGCTTGACAACCATCATGAGGCTGTCAATTTTCTGAGTAAGGAGGTCGTCACATGTCACTTCTTTCATGTAGGAGTCATGGTTGAATCTGTATTGGGGGTATTTGCAAAGTAATGTAAGAAAATTCACGGCATCTGGTCTCTTGAAACCAGAAAGATTTTAGTTCAAACTGAATTGTATGTCTATGTGCAGTATATATCTAGATTAGATTAGATATAGATAGATAGGTAGACACATATATGTATATATGTATTTACATGTTAGGCATTTTTAAAAGCCTAAGTCTAAAGGACAAGGAGACATTTTGCACTTCTTTTGTTTTAAAATACACATTTCTAGGTGTAAGATTGTATAGAACCACATTATCACTGGCCTTCTGATAAAAAGTGCATTCAAAGTAAAAAAACATACTAGCACTTCAAAATAAATGCAAGTAGGAGAGACAAGGCTTATATGAAACAGAAGAGAAATGCTTTTCCTATGATTAATTTAAATCAAGGATCAGTTCAAGCAAGAAGTGCTCTCCTTTTCAGAAACCTCTCAAGGCTGGACATGTGACCGTCCATCTAACTGTCATTATGGTTGAACACCTGCTTTGCTTCAGGCCCTGCACTAAATTTAGAGCCTCATGTTGTGGCTGGCACATAGCAAGTTCTCGATTAGCATTTGTTGAATGCACGCATGCATGAATAACTAAAGAAAAGGTAGCTCAAAAAGCTCAAAATCTAGATGTTCCTATTTTCAGTCTCTGAATTAAGATTATGGACCTGAATAGGGTTCCAATGACAATGATAGTTCTGATGATACTACTTAGGGCAAGTTCCTGAGCTTGATTCTCTTGAAGGCCAGTCAGCTGTGGTTGTTCTGAGCCCCACACTTTACCAGGAGCCCACACAGCCATCTCTCAAACACGTGCCACTGACCACAAGGGCATCTACGATGGGTCAGCATGAAGTCATAGCTGGAAGAAACTATTCCAAGAGTCTGTTCTTATGGCAGAAGTCAGCAGCACCTCTTTGAGTCCTTCATTATAGGAACCTCATCGAAATTTTCTTTTCTCTACCATTTTAAAAAATGCCATTCATTATAGGAAAGAAGTTCATAATTCTGCTGGATATTAATTAATCATAAACCAAACTCAAATGCATGTAGATGTACACACAACTGCCAAGTTTGGAAAGTACTAGAGAGCTGTTATTCATCTGTATACCCATAGGCTTTAAGATTTGCACTCCCTCTTCATATTCACAGCCTCTTTTGAGTACCTGTTATGTGCCAGGAGCCAAGACAGGGCTGGAGAGACTCAGTTCAGATCCTGTGCTCATGGAGTGCGTATTCTAAGGCAGAGACAGACATTAAAAATATGTAGTCCTATACAATCAAAGGAGAAGGCATCATTTGGAGTGATTAACATGGGGACTTAACGTTGTCTGGGGTCTAGAAAGATTTACTTGAGGAGTTGGCTTTTGAGTTGAGAGCTGAAGGATGAAAAATGAAAAATAGCTATGATTACCATGGAATCTAGATTACATACAAATTAGGATTAAATTATCCACATAAATGTGGGGAAAGTTGGTCTTCTCTTGGATTACCCAGATACTTCCCTTTGACTTTCTATTGTATACTGTTGAAATATGAAGTAGAGAATCAAAATGATTGACCAATTGACCAGAAAATATTTTTCCTTAATTACATAGACACTTCCTAAAGAAATAGTTCAGATATGAACTGTCTAGATAACTGGTTCTCTGCTTCAGTTGCATTTACATCTAGTTTTGATATCCAGCTTAAGCTGCACAACTTTTTATGAGTCCAAACTTTGAGACCTATTTCCCCAAAACTCCACATGACACAGTAGGTGCCATCATAGGTTATTTTCTTGTTTATAAGATGTCATCTTGCCTTCCCCATAGCCTAAGTTCCCCTGTTGAATTGGTTTTATTGAGCTTCACAGTCATTTTGCGATGTATTTGCCCAGGCATTCATCAAGATGACAAAGGAAATAAAAACCCCAGTCTCAAAGCTGTATAAATGTCAATGAGCAAACAGATCAAAGAAGTAAACAAGCCAGATCCACATTCACTTGTGATTAGCAGGAAAACAGAGGGGGAGGAAACCGACTATTTGCCAAGGACAGGATGGAACATAAATTGAATTTTCCTCCTGGCTTTTGAAAATGTTGTCATTGTCATCTGCTCGTCGTTTCTACGTGTCTTATTTTCACAACTTGCTTGACACCCCAAATAATCGCCTGGGGACAAAAAAAACTGCAGTATCATCAGGAGTTATTTAATTGCTAGTATTGTTAAGAAAACACTGTATCCACCTTCATCTTCTATGAAGTGCTTAGAACAGTTAACTGTCACAATATTGTGAATTCAGTGCATGAGAGAGACTTGAAGAATACATTTCTTATTCATCTCTGTTGCCCCAGTACCTAGCATAGAACCTGGCACAAAGTCCCGTTAAATAGAGTCCCCAAAAACCCTTGCAGCATAAAAGCAACCTTTTGGCAAGCAACCTTGCCAAAGTGCCCACTCTCAGTAAGAAAGGTAATTTACTGAGTGGAAGTTCATGGGCTCTGGAGTCAGTCAGATGAGATTTTGAATTCCGACCTCTATTTACCAGATTTTGAATTCTGATCTCTTCAGGCATATAGTAACTTCTCAATCAATGTTATCTATCAATACCTTACCTGGACATCATAAATTGGATGTCAGATTTTGTGAGATTTGATGAATAATTGTCAGTTGTTTCTTGGGGAAAAATTGGGCTTTGGTTAATGCGCTCTAAAATATCCCCTCTTTAAAGAATCTTCCCCAAGGCCCTGCCATTGGAGCCTCTGCTGCCTTTCGACTCATCACTGTGGTACCTTTCTATTCCCCAATTTCTTTCTTCTTTAGCTTGTTTTTTTCCATTGCTTGCCAGCTGCTTCTTCCTTTGTGATCTTGAAAAATGCTTACTCATGACTTCTCTGTTGCTTCAAAGCCATGTGTTTCATTTTATCATTGGCATTTTACTTATTTATCTGACCTTCACCACTTTATTCAGAATTCAAGCCATCAGATGCAATTGACCTTCATCTTTTCAAATGCTGGTTTAAAAACTCTAAGTCAAAATGTCACCATGTTGTCTTAAGTTTTCTCAGGATATTTTGCATAAATGTACACAGGCAGATATACATGTATACCTAGTGTACTAATGATAGTATAATGAAATTATTATGAATCTACTCCAAATGAGATAATTATTCATAAAAGTTTCTTTCATTTTTAAAGAGGCACACTATTGAAAACTACTCCATTCTGTCACCGGAACTTTCTTCTGAAACAGATGTTCTGTCCATCCAATTGAATATCAGTTAAAGGACTTTTTCTTTTTTCAGACAAAGTCTTGTTTTGTTGCTCAGGCTGGAGTGCAGTGGTGCAATCATGGCTCACTGCAGCCTTGACCTCCCTGGGCTCAGTGGAGCCCACCTCAGCGTCCCAAGTAGCTGGGACTACAGGCACATGCCACCACACCCAGCTAATCCAATTAAAGGATATTTAAGGAAAAAAATGAACGTCTTCAAAATCAAATTTATTTTGATATTTAATTCACAAAGATGTGCAGCATATTTTTGTGCTTCCTTTTGTATCTATTTGCATTTTTGCATGTAGTTATTTTGACATGATATGGATGACATTTTCCTTCCTTCCATTTAAATAATAAGTGTGCACTGTTATCTACTTAATTTGTAAGGTATCCCGCTGTCTCCATCACATTGATGAGAAGGGTCCTGGTCTTGTTGTCCAGAACTCATAGCTATATTAGAAGATTGTATGTTTTCTTCATTAAAGCACATGGGGAGGAATGGAAGGGAGATGTTTCTGGCCTCTCACAGCCATATGTCAGTGTCCTTTGGGGGTTTCCTGGAGAAAATAGTACTGGACATTTTTAAAGGTCACATTACTGGAACTGAAAAAGTGATATGATGGGGATTAGGATGATGATAATGGCTGGCATTTGTTCAACCACCACCTTATAAACTCTTTGAACTCTTGCAGTACCTTGCAAGGCAGATTGTGTGATCTCCTTTGTCCAAATCAAGGAACTTAAAGCACAGGAGAGTTCAGTAACTTGCTCAAGGTCATGTTGTTGTGGACTAACTCCTGGTCCCAAGCTCCACATCACTACACCACTCCATGAGGCTAACACTGGTTTTATCATCCATGTGTCCTGACATTGCAGTGAGGTGTGACCAGATCCTCTTCTAAGATGGGCTCTCGTTTGTCCCAGGCTGTCCCCCAGACCCCTGCTTCTTCTCTCTTCTGTCTTCATCACAACATACACGAGGATTCTTTATGGACTATTACACAATGGTATTATTCTTCTCTGAATAGGGGTGTGAATTTTGGCAAAGAATTACCTACTTACTTTCTCCTAACAAAAAAAGGCCTGGCCTATCTGGATATTTATCGGTGAGATACAGAATGAAAGAAGGCTGAGATGGATTTATTTTACACCCAAAGCTGGTAACTTCAGGGCCTCTGGAGAACTATTTGGCAGCTCAATGTCATAAACATTTTATTTTATATTAATGAAATGAACTATACAGTTTATATTTTGCTATACGTGAGATAAACCACTGAGCAAAAATTATATATAAAACATATTATAGTGAATTGGCATCATGATAAATAGAAAAAGCATTATACATGGAGTGAGACAAAGCTAGTTTTGAAGCCTAGTCCACAATTTACTAGCTGTGTGTCCTTTAGCAAGTCACTTGACCTCTCTGAGATTTGGTTTTCTAATTTTTAAGAGGAGGTCATTATACCTACCAACAAGGTAGTTATCAACAAGTTGTAGGGTTACATGAACAAGAATTATTAAGCAAGTTTTGGAAATGTGAAAAGATCCTAGGTGCTTAATGAACTTTAAAAAATACACTTATAAATGGAAGCTAAATAATGTGTACTCATGGACACAGCATAGAATAAGAGACGCTGGAGACTCAGAAGGCTGTGGGGGGTGAGGAGGTTGAGGGGTGAGAAATTATGTAATGAGTACAATGTACACTATTTGGGTAATGGCTACACTAAAAGCTCAGACTTCACCACTGTGCAATATATCCATGTATCAAAACTGCGCTTGTACCCCTAAATGTATACAAATAAAATAAATTAATAAATTAAACAAGTAAGAGAATGCTTACATTTTTCTTAAGCATTTTATTTAGAAGCATGTATCATGCAAATACACAAAAGAAATTTATTTTCAGAGCCTGTTTATCTTTTAAAAGTACACTTTTTGTTTTCACTGTAAGGAGACGATTGAACATGCTCCATTCTTATCATCAATGCAGGAAAAGTCCTGAGTCATGCACAAGGCGTACTTTTAAGAAAAACCGGCAGGCAGTAACATTTCACGGGTGTTCATTCCTGGATGTGTGAACACTGCATTTAAAAAAAGTTTATTGGCATTACATTTTGTGACATATTGTTGGAGGTGAATAATTTATCTGGTGTGACTGCCTGAGGAAATATTTCTCCATATTTGCAAGTGGATTCTTCTTTCTCATTACTAAGTAGATTTATTGCATGAGTAAAATGAATTCTATAATGCTCTTAAATGTTTCTCAGTAAGAGATGAATTTCAGAGTCTCACATTTAATCGATAATTTTTTACGTGGCAGCAGAACAAGAGAACATTCCAACCAGCTTGCTTACCAGCATGTGAAAGTAGCAGGTAAAGGTCACTGTCCAATGTGCTGAAAGCTGCTCCTGCTTATGAAATCAGTGGCTCTGGGTTAGTTTTCTGGAAGTCACCCCATTCTAATATATAATGCAACATTTTAAAGTACTTCAGCACAGTAAAGCTTCTTGTGGCTTGTAGGATAACATCTGTCAAGTGCTACTTGATGCCTTAGACAAATAGTGACAACCTGCAATTCATTCAATTTTATGTTTTGTTTTTTTTTTTTAAATTGTGGCAACATATACCATTGTTTTCCTTGCTGCAATGATAAGTAGATTTGTATAATTTTTATTGAGTTAAATCATAATTAACTGAATATTTTTCTATATTCATTTACTAGGAAGCAGAACTTGGGATTTGTGGTTTTTCAGATGCTGACTATATTTCTTTTAAGCATGGTGTTTTGGTCCTTTTGAAGAAAGAACTGAACCACATAATTGAAATAGGCTAGCTTTGATTCGTTTTATTTGGGTTTAATTTCAAGTACAATGCCATAATAAACAAAATAAGAATTATAATGAAACTATCTTGTACTCAAAATATCCAAGTATGTATTACTAAGAAATTTGGTACTAAAAGCCAAACATATTGTATTGACTATACATTATTTTTCATTTAATTATTTTTCTTTTATTTTATCCATAAGTTTTTCTATAGTCATCTTATTTTAAAATGAATAATTATAGGAAAATATACCAAGAGGTATAACTGGAGATCCACAATACAACCTGCCTTCTACCAAGGCCTAAAAAGAACCCAAGAAGGGGACTGTCTGTAGATTATGTGCTTACCCTCTCCAGTCCAGAGAACTTGGAAGACAAAAGAATGTTCCTTATTTTTATTTATTTATTTATTTATTTATTTATTTATTTATTTATTTATTTTGAGACAGAGTCTTGCTCTGTTGCCCAGGCTGGAGTGCAGTGGCAAGATCTTGGCTCACTGCAAGCTCCACTTCTCGGGCTCACGCCATTCTCCTGCCTCAGCTTCCCAAGTAGCTGGGACTACAGGCGCCTGCCACCACGCCTGGCTAATTTTTTTTGTATTTTTAGTAGAGACGGGGTTTCATCGTGTTGGCCAGGATGGTCTCGATCTTCTGACCTCGTGATCCACCCACCTCGGCCTCCCAAAGTGCTGGGATTACAGGCGTGAGCCACCACTCCCGGCCTGAATGTTCCTTATTTTGAACATGAATATGTCATTTGAATAGTGTAGGTTACTTAGGGCCCGCTTTTTTTGAAAAAGATTAATCTGAACACTCTTATTTTTATGCCCCATCAAGTATTACAGGTTTTCTTTATTATTGTTCTCATGACCTAGTAGCTTCTAATACTAAGTTCTTGAGGATATATGTACATCCTATTTTCTCTCTTATTTTTATTAATTTATTTATTTTTGAGATGGAGTTTTGCTCTTGTCATCCAGGCAGGAGTGCAGTGGTGCAATCTCAGCTCACTGCAACCTCCGCCTCCCAGGTTCAGGTGATTCTCTAGCCTCGGCCTCCCAAATAGCTGGCATTACAGGTGCACACCACCATGCCTGGCTAATTTTTGTATTTTTAGTAGAGACAGGTTTTGCCATGTTGGTCAGGCGGGTCTCAAAATCCTGACCTCAGGTGATCCACCCACGTTGGCCTCTCAAAGTGCTGGGATTACAGGAATGAGCACGGCTGTACGTCCTATTTTCTACCTCAGTTTTTTTTCTCCAAATGTCATTTTTTTTTCCACCTCTTACTTTTTTATAGACTACATTTTGTTCATGGCACACTGTCATAATTGGTCCTTGGAAAAATGTCCTGTATTTTGTGTTATTCTAGTCATTTTTTCCTCTCACCTCCGTCCCCATTTACCTCCTTTCGTAGGCATCCATTCCAACACGTTTAGTAAGTCCACTTATGTATACTCATAAAATATATGTATTGTTTTATTTTTATGTATTTTATATACATAAATGGCATTGCACCGTGGTTTTGTTTTGTTTCTTCCTTTTTCACACAGTGCTATTTTAAAAGATCTACCCATGTTTATTTATATATGTATATATGTAGTTCGATACTTCTGACATTATAAAAATGTCAGTTTTCTCCAAAGTACCTTAGCACTACAATCTAATTATAAGAAAATCCCTTCTTTATCATGTTACCATCTCACACATAAATTTGGTAAGTCTTTCCATATGTTCAAGCCTTTTAAAAGCATTCTTTGAAAGAGTTTTAGATTTTCTCTGGAAAGGGCTGGTTCACTCCTTTTAGAAAAATTCCAGCCGGGCGCGGTGGCTCACGCCTGTAATCCCAGCACTTTGGGAGGCCGAGGCGGATGGATCACGAGGTCAGGAGATCGAGACCGTCCTGGCTAACACAGTGAAACACTATCTCTACTAAAAATACAATAAATTAGTTGGGTGTAATGGCGGGCGCCTGTAGTTCCAGCTACTCAGGAGGCTGAGGCAGGAGAATGGCATGAACCCGGGAGGCGGAGCTGGCAGTGAGCTGAGATTGCGCCACTGCACTCCAGCCTGGGCGACAGAGCGAGACGCCATCTCAAAAAAAAAGAAAGAAAGAAAGAAAGAAAAATTCCTTGATATTTTAAAGATTTTATTGCTATTTTGTTTTATCTTATTTCATATTATATTTTCTTGTTAGTTATTGCTGATAAAGAGAAATGCTATTTTTTTAAATTTTATTATTATTATACTTTAAGTTTTAGGGTACATGTGCACAACGTGCAGGTTTGTTACATATGTATACATGTGCCATGTTGGTGTGCTGTGATTTATGTTCATCTTTTATCTATCTACCTTGGATTATTACATCTATATGAATGATCTATGTAAGTGGTCATATCATTCATCAATAGTGATCATTATACCTTTTCATTTTCAGTGTTTTCTTTTTTTTTCCTTTATTTCTTTTTCTTGCATAATTGTCTTCTTGAGGACCTCCAGTACTATGTTTTATAGTTGTGGTAAAAATGCGCATTATTTTTTTGTTCATGATCGTAAAGTGAATGCATGGAAAATTCCCCCATTCAGCAGGATGTTTGCAGTAGGATTTTGGTAATCAGTATTTATCTGTAGTCATAAATACTTATTTGGAGTGCCTTCTATTTCATTCTGTTCTAAGTATCTTTAAATTTTCATTTTTGTTTCTTCTTTCTGCCAAAGGCAGAATATTTCTTAGTTTTCAGACATATGTTGTAGGTTTCTGATGTTCCCGTTTTATGGTCAGAGACATAATCTCTATGAAGCTTCTGGTACATTGTAGGATTTTGCAAATGTTCCATATGTTGTCAATACACCTATGCACACAAACTTTTTTTTAGTTCTTCTGTAACATGACTTTTCTTTTAGTCTTCTTTATGTTTTTTAGTGAAGGAAATATTACAATCTCCAGCTACAATGGTTGATTTATCTACTTCTCTCTGTAGTTTTATCAATGCTGCTTTGTGTATTTGGATATTATATTATTTAGAGGATTTTGTTCATGATCATTATAGTTTCTTGATCTAGTGTTTTGTCTACCTTTATTTATCATACCTCTGTCCTTATGATAATTTTTGCCTTAAATTCTATTTAGTCTGATATTAAGATGGTTACCCTGGTGGTTTTTTTGGTGTTTCTTTTTTTTTTTTTTTTTTTTTGACAGAGTCTTGCTCTTGTTGCCCAGGCTGGAGTGCAATGGTGCAATTTGGGCTCACTGCAACCTCCGCCTCCCGGGTTCAAGCGATTCTTCTGTCTCAGCCTCCTGAGTAGTTGAGATTACAGGCACTGGCCACCACACCCAGCTAATTTTTGTATTTTTAGTTTCAATTGACAAAAACTCCCTCTTTGATCAAACTTTGTACAGGCTCCTAGTAATCTTCTTCTCAATTAGGTCTTGTCTTTGGCCTGCTGAGCCCAGTTCTAGCAAAGAATCCTACTGAGATAGTTTAGAGAGAACCCTTCCACCCTGATACATCATCAAGTTATTAATCCCCCCCACCTTCATATCGAAGTACTTGCCTAACCTTTAGCAAGAATCTTGTTAAGCCAGTTTAGCAAAAATCTCTCTACTCTTGGTACCTAACTAAGTTCCTCTCAGTAATTTTCTACCCACTGACCCCCTTGTCTGCTTCTTGGCTGTAAATCCCAAGGTGTCTCGCTGCTTTTGGAGTTGAACTCAGCTCTGTATTGAAGTCTCTCTCCCCTACTGCGGTAGCTCAAATACAATTTATCTTGCCATTTGAAACAAATGTCTGGTGCAAAATTTTTCTCCTGCATAACCTCTCCATGTACTACTTTTGTTTTAAATACATCTCTTATAGGCAACATTTTGCTGGATATTTTTCAAAATACAACTTGAGAATCTCATCTTTTAATCAGTTAGTTTGACTTTTTATATTAACTAGTTATTACATTAGTATTTATTACTCTATCTCATTTTCTTTTTGAAAAACATTTTACACATCTTTTATAAAGATTTTTCTCTGTCTTCCTATTTTCCACTGGATACGTTAAATTTTATTTTATAAGTTTTAAAGTTTGAGTTTTATTTTTCTGGCGGTTACCCTTAGATTCCAGATCTTCCACCAGAGTGAATATATTAGCGTGTTCTTACCTCATGCTGGTCTCTCTGTCTCCTGCCCACTATCATATTAGTATTGATCTTTAGTTCTAGGATTTTATACATTTTTAAAAGTCATTGCTTATTTAAAAAATAAACCTTGTTAACATATTTATTCACTTTTCCTTCCATGCCTAGCAGGAAGGAATTTATTTTCTCTTTTTGTGGCACTGTTTGTCCTAAAAATTATTTTCAAAGTGTGTCTTTGTGTAATAAGCCCAGGCCTTGAATGACTAAAAGAATTTTCATTTCACTCTCGCATTTGATTATAAATTTGGCTGACATACAATTCTATGCTTTCTTGAATTCAGTTCCTCTCTAGGATTTCTGTTCCTTTCTCTAACTCTTTGTCAATAGGACTTCTTGAGTCTAGTGTTTCTGTCCTGAGGTCTGAGGTCAGTCTTGGAAGTGACTTTGGCCTCTTTAAACTTCAGGTTCCTCATGTGTAAAATGAGATAATATCAATATGGGTTTCACAAGGGATGTGATGAGAAATCAGTGAAGTAGTGTGTGAAACAATGTGACATTCTTGATGTGTTTATGAACAACAGTCTCTGAGTTGCTCCTAATATGGCTTTAAAATGGCTAACATAATTCTTCCCTTTAAAAAAGGATGGAGAAGAAAAGGGGAAGGCAGGTGACATTTTCTTTTATTTCACAAGGTAAAGGGAATTCACTCCAATTTTTCCCATTTTACAAAATCACAGAGTTTTGCTCGTAGTGGACAGATGAATGACTTTCAGTAACTTCTTTTTACGATGCAGACCTTAGGGACTGACACGTGACTCATAGCTTGAAACCAAGCTGTGCTATTTTTCCAGGCACCTGCTGTGCAGGCTCCTGAGGCTGGCCTGGATGGATGCAGTACATTGGCTTGGGCAGTTCAAACCAGTCATTTGCAGGCTGTGGCTGCTCTCATACTATGGATTATTTTTCCAATGTTTCCTCTCTGAAATGAAAAAAAGAGACACAAATCTATCTACTCATTTGTTTTCTGTCTGTTAATCCACAGTGGTCCCTTCGACTCAGTTCAGCATTTGTCTCTTGGGCATCTATCTTTGTTTGCTCAATATTGTTCCCGGTTCAGCTCTTGGAAGTCAATGAGTCAGGGATTCAGGAGAGGTGAGCCTGAGATGGCAGCAAGACGTAAGGGAGCCCCTGCAAGTGCCGCAGGAGGAGAAGGAGACGGCCTGCTTAGGGGATGTTTACCACACCTGCCTGTTGCTCCAGCACATAGTAGTACGTCAACAGTTGTTGAAAAATGTACCTGTTGGCCGACGTTGGCCTGTGTGGTCAGCCTCTTACTTCCAGTGAAGCAGTGTTAACTTTGCTTTGCCCTGACATTGCCCAAGTTGGATATTTAAAAAAAAACAAAAACAAAAACAAAATCAGAGCCAGGGAACCCCCTTTGGGTGATCCAGACCGTCTGTGCTTCCTTCTCTTTCTTGGAGCAGAGCAGATGGTGACTTCACTTGCCAGACCTAATCGAGAGGCAGATCTCAGAGTGGGCCCCCACCATGCATTTTAAAAAATTTGAAGGCCTTTGAAGACATCCAAGTATGTGAGAGAAGCACAAGGACATTCTGCCATTCTGAAAGCAGCTTTCATCTTCTCAAAGTTGTCTCATATTCTCATTCTAGAAAGCACTCAGCTTTCATATCTGTCCATTTATATTAACATGAGGACTAATTTTCAAGTGAAGTGCTTATAAAATAAGCACAAAAGAGATCACTGGAATGGACTTAAATGATATAAATATGTTTATTGTCTCAGGGACAGCAGTCCAGAAAAAGTTTATATTATTTTTTCCTACATATTCCATCATGTTTTGGTATGCCAAATCTAAGTTGTAACCATAAAGGCTCAACGTTTTTATCCTCTTTTTGTAGGGCAAATGTGGAAATTGCAAACCTGTTTCTGTTTGCTAGGTAATCACCAGGGTATAGAGGTTTTTTTTGTTTGTTTGTTTGTTTGTTTTTAATAGGAACCTGGCCAGGGCACTGGGATGATGGGTTCGATGGTCAGGGAGGAGGGAATTGAATTTATGCAGCATCAGCTGGGATCAGTCAAGGGCAGCTGTGATTAGTGTCCTAGGGGACCTAGAGAGAAGAAGACAGTATTTCAGCTGAGCAGAAAGAGTAGGACAAGCAGAGAAGCAGGGAGCTCTGGCTCAGTGACTTGAGGGGTGATGGGTAGAGCATTGGGCATAGCATAACATGTAGCTTCTCCCTCGGCTCTGCCCTGTAAAGGTGTGACTTTGGGCCAGCCTGCTCATGCCTCTGGACCTCAGGAGCTTTATTTCCTTTCAGATAATGTTAGAATTATGCCTTTGGGCATAATTGGGTTGCTTCCAGTTTGGAGCAATGATGAATCAAGCTACTGTGAACATTCTTGTGTATGTCTTTTGGTGGCCATACGCACTCTTTTCTCTTGAGTGAATACCCAGGAGTGGATTTGCAGAGTCTTAGATATACGTATGTTTAGATTATCTCGTCCTCTCTCTGAAACTTTCTGGAAAATTGTAGAAATGAATTTCTGATAAATTCAGATGAAGTGCCTTGGGGCTGTGGAGAATGCGTTAGACAAGGATTCATTCATTCAGGAAACCCATCAGGGATGCAGGCATGAAGGAGAGAAATTCGTTACTCTGGGACAACTCACTGACTTCAACGGAGGTTGCATCTTTGGGTTTAGGTCCTGATGCTGTTACTCCTTGTGGTGGGCTGTACTACTTGATGTCCCCCTCTGTGGAAGGATCATGGAGGATTCTTCTTCCCCGGCTGAATTCAAGTGTGGCAGTGTGGCTAGGGTTGACCAATGAAGTGAATGTGAAACGGCCTGTGTCTATGTGGTTGTGTCTAAGAATCAGCACATAGTTTGTCACGTCCTCATTTCCTCGGCCATGATGACTGGCAATATTCAGGATCAGAATGAAGATGAAGGCATGGAGCAGGGCCTGGGAGGCCCACAGTGGATATATAGCCCAAAGGAGAAACAAACTCTTACTTGTTTTAAGTCACTGACATAGGGGCTTCTTGTTACCACAGCATAACCTAGCCTGCCCTGGCTGATTCAGTAACTACTAGCCATGGATCTCTGAGCATGTCATGTAAACTATTGTTTTTTTTTGAGATGGGGTCCCCCTCTGTTACCCAGGCTGGGGTGCAGTGGTGGAATCTTGGCTCACTGCAGCCTTGACCTCCCAGGCTCAAGCGATTCTCCCACCTCAGCCTCCCGATTATGTGGGACCACAGGCACACACCACCATGCCCAGCTAATTTTTTGTAACTGTTTGTAGAGACAAGGTATCACTGTGTTGCCCACACTGGTCTTGAACTTCTGGCCTCAAGTGATCACCCCACCTCAGCCTCCCAAAGTGCTGGGATTACAGTTGTGAGCCACTGTGCCTAGCTACATAAATTATTTGACCCATAGCTACGTAACTTATAAAATGGGGAGATGAGCATTTTACCTGGGTTGATGCAACTTCCTAGGGTTGTTGCGAGGAATAAGCAACACATTGTGAAATTGCTTTGAAAATGAAGCTTGGTTTCTATTATGGCAGCATGGTGTAACCTAATTAATGAGTGGCTGAAGGTTCAGGCTCTAGGGTTAAGCAGCTGAGCCATTTACTCAGCGTGTGATTTTGGGTACATTACTTAAACCCTCTAAGTTCCCTCAATGCCAAAATGTAAATAGTGGTAGTATCCACCTTATAGGTTGGTGAGCCAGTTAGATATGCAAAAGTACAGCTAACATAGCACAGAGCCTGACACATAGCAAGTCCTACATGAAGCTTGCCTGGCATAATTGCCATCAGTGTGTTGTTATTACTATCTATGTACATTTTTCATCAGCATCAGGATGAGAGAACCTAGGGAAAGGCTGAGGTTCTGCAATTCTATTCTACTGCAACTAGAACAAAATATGTCTATTTCTTTAAAAAAATTCTGCAGGCAGGAAAAATGTCCATACAAGGTAAAGTGTTTAAGTGCTTTAGGCTTTGTTTATAATAATTTATTAAAGATTGGCTGCTAAAAGAGTCTTCTTTCAAAAATAAATCAATAGCTCACACAGGCCAAGATGCTGAAATCCTCTTCTTCTTGCTAGAAATTAGTCATGGAAGAAAATCACATTTGATGTGTTTGCGGAACATTTATTCACTCCACTATGCTCAGGGCAAGGCACGGGGATATAATAATTTATGAAAACAACAAGGTTCTCTGTGTCTAGAGGGCGAGAGGGGCTCATGTCTACACAATTAAAATAAGATGCTGTTAAGTGCTACTGCATTGCAGAGTTACATGGAAAAGGTGACAGGAACATAAATGTAGGAGTGATGTATTATGTCTACATGGGTCCTGGCCAAGGCCTTGGAGAGGAAGTGACATCTGAATTAGATTTTATAGGCTAATTGGACACCCCTTGGATATGCAGGGCCCAGCACTATGAAGGGAAGGCAGAGACTGGGAGGCCGGTTGTGGGATATGGCTGGATATAAGATGGAAAGAGTGGCTGAGCTGGTTGGAAGGGCCCTTGACGCCATGTTAGGAAATCCGACCTTGATTCTTCAGGCAAGATTAAAGGCAGGTGGATTCAGCACATAATGCCCTGGATAAACACCCAAAGACAGAAAGGAAGAAAAATCAACAATTATGAATTATCCTCTACTTATATGTGAAGCAAATTTTTTGCTTGCTGAACAGGATGTGCCTACATAGGTTTGTTGGGGTGAAATTGCAGTAAAATGAGTGATAGCCCTTTGGGCCTGCTAATGAGTAAAAGTGTCACTGTGAGGTGAGCCTAAAGGGGAGGGCTGAGGTTCTCGCCAAGCAGGGAGATCAGGCAGGTGATAATCATGATGGCTGCTGTTCACATGGTGCCAGCAAGATGCTGGGACCTGTGACAGACACTTCACAAACAGCACTGCTGCAGGGGGAAGTTTATACCCACTTCCAGGGCCACGGGGATTTTGCTCCTCTGTTGCTCCGCCTGCCGGCTGTGGCAGCCTTTAGCCCATAGATGCTGATCTTTGATGTCAGAAAGACCTGTCTGCCCTGTTTCAGATGTGAGGCTGGCCTTATCAAATTACCGTACTTCTCAGAGAATCAATACCCATTAACAAAAAGAAATGCTGTGATCATTGTTTTGTTTTTGTGTTTTTTTTGTTTTTTGTTTTGTTTTGTTTTGTTTTGTTTTGAGACAGAGTTTCATTCTCGTTGCCCAGGCTGGAGTGCAATGGCATGATCTCAGCTCACCGCAACCTCTGCTTCCTGGGTTCAAGCAATCCTCCTGCCTCAGCCTCCCGAGTAGCTGGGATTACAGGGGTCCGCCACCACACCTGTTTTTATATTTTTTGTAGAGATGGGGTTTCTCCATGTTGGTCAGGCTGGTCTCAAACTCCCGACTTCAGGTCATCCACCTGCCTCGGCCTCCCATAGTGCTGGGATTACAGGCGTGAGCCACCGCGCCCAGCCATCATTGTTTTTAATAGAAGAAAAAAAAAACCAAACCAAACCAAACAAAACAAAACAAAATCACTGTAAAGACAAGAATGGATAAGTAAGGAGAGTTATCCCTAGGAATACTATATAGCAGTTCAGCTACATTAATTACAACTCCATACATGTTACAGCAAAATCTCTAAAATATAATGTTGTGCTAAAAAGCAAGGATACTTGCTATATAAAGTTTAAAAAATATGCAGCCAGGCCCGGTGGCCCACGCCTGTAATCCCAGCACTTTGGGAGGCCGAGATGGGTGGATCACCTGAGGTCAGGAGTTCCAGATCAGCTTGGCCAACATGGTGAAAACCCATCTCTACAAAAAATACAAAAATTAGCCAGGCATGGTGGGGGACCCGTGTAATCCCAGCTACTTGGCAGGCTGAAGCAGGAGAATCTCTTGAACCTGGGAGGCTGGAGGTTACAGTGAACCGAGATCGTGCCATTACACTACAGCCTGGGCAACAGAGCGAGAGTCCGTCTCAAAACAAACAAACAAAAATACACAAAACCTATTTGATGAACACATTACTATGTAGGAAAATATAACTGGTGAATCTCTGGTGAGGAAAAGAAAGGAGCCAGATGAAAAAGTCTGCCCCGGTGCTTCAATTTTTATCTGTAGTGTTTCCTTTGTTTTGAGAGCAAAAGGCCGAGGAAGCCAATGTTAAGATTAGATAAAGCTGGGCAGTGAGCTCACGGTGGTTCATTATGTCAATCACTTTCTCTTCAAATTTCTGTATTTGAAATATTTCTCAATATACTAACATTTTAAAAGAAAATGCTTTCATCAAGGCACCAAGGCCTATTAAAACAAAGCCATTACCTTCGGCACTGAACGGATTTTTCTCATTGCTTTTTCTTCTCAGTGACAGCTTTTGGTTTTCAGCCAAGAAGCACGTGTATGTGTGTGTGTGTGTGTGTGTGTGTGTGTGTGTGTGTGTGTGTAGGTGTGTGTTTGGAGGTCTCCTGGAGGCAAATGAGCACATTTGTTAAAATGGAGTATTACGTTTGTACCAGAAACCTAAAAGCATATTTTATTTAAATGAGATGCAGAATATATTACCTTAATGAGTAAAAGGGTTTCTGCTTTGGATAACTGGGCCCAGGCCACAAAAAATGAGAAGGGGAATGGGAGGGGTAACCCTAGACGATACGGAGAAAGCAATAATCTGGCTGTGGTGCTCTTGCCCAGGGAGAATGGCTGGAGACCTTAATGATAATTGTTAAAGCTACGTGGAGAACTTGGCCTCGACCCAGAGTCCTGTTGCTGTATGCATGCAGCTGATCTGGGGGCAGGGCCGTAAACAACAGCAACTCTGGGCTTCTAGGAGATGCCTCTTTAGGACTGGCAGAATCTCCTGTGTGTGGTTTTGCATGCACATTTGAAATTCGAAACAGCATATTCAGTATTATCGAATATTATAAAATTTATTTTGAATATAAATACTTAAAACTTAAAAAGTCTACTCATTTATTTTTTAGAGATGGGGTATCCTTATGTTGCCCAGGCTGTACTGGAACTCCTAGGCTTGAACTCCTGGACTCAAGCAATCCTCCTGCCACAGTCTCCTGAGTAGATGGGATTCTAGGTGTGTGCTACAATGCCCAGCTCTATAAACACTTAAAAAAATCATGTAAACTATAGAGAGTAAACCTCAATAAGTCTTAGGGGAAGAATTTTTGGAACATACTGTTTGACTTTTGACTGTACCCGTCACTCTCTGGGGGAAGGATGGAAATTAGGGAGTGACCGGCAGTGAGGTTTGTGTAAGGGGGCAGACCCAGGTCTAACAGATAGAGTAACAATCCTCCAGGCCAGTGTGCTCCGGGGACCAGAATCTTGGTGGTGATAATGGGGGGACAGGTGGCAAACAACACGAGGTCTCCTTTCTCCCTGAGAGCCACCTGCCTGGAGTGGGAGAGAATGGGTCGTGGGTTTCTGTTTGTTAAATGCCGCTTTGCTAAAACACAGCGCCTCTGGGCAGATGTTAGGCCCTTGGGCATCTTGGGGCAGGGCAAATGCTTTGAGAATCCCAGTTGTGGGCAGTGGTGCTCCTTTGCATTTGTTCCCAGGCCTGTCGCCGTTGAAGCAGAATCACAGGTAGTAGGAGCTGAGAGGGACCATCAGGAGACTGAGGTTTCAGTGCCCAGGTGGGGTGGGGAAGCCAGGAAATGGAACAGAGGCTTAATGGAAATTTTTGGACGCACACAGCGGGGATGAGGACTTGGAGGGTTATTCTGGGCTGAAGGCTATTAATCTCAGGCCTGTGTGATGATGATGAGGCAGCAAACATACCGCTGTTGGGGCAGCGTGGCCACCTGGCTAGTTAAGTGCACTTCCCACAGCCTGGGGGCTGTGTGAGGCTGGGCCTGCAGGCTGAGGGTCTTCATATGGACTGCCCCGCAGAGAGGCAAGCTCCTACAGCTCAGGGCCTGGCTTTCTTCTGAACTATCTGTTACCACTGCTTAATACTTTCCATATTTATATAGCTAAGGTGCATTAAATGGTCCAGGAAATGTTTTGATCCCACATACATTCAAGCCTCTCCTATTGCATTCAAGCCTTTTCTATTCCTATTGTTCTGATATTTGATAATTTACCAAAAGGTAAGGTTTCCACTGAGGGAATCTGATGCTTTAATTTTGAGTTTGGTCTTTGTGGACCATTTCACTGAGATCAAGCAGGTTTGTTCTGCCAGAATGAGGTTTTTGACCTTTGAAATGTTATTTCTCCAGCAAAATTGCTAGGAACAGTAAGGTACAGAGAGTTTAGGGATATTGATCGGGCCATATGGCCTTGAAACATGTTCAAATATAATTAGAAGGGAGACAAATGCCATATCCCTGTTGATTACTTTTTGAATGCATTTACCTGGGGGATCAGAAAGGAAACTAGAGGGGTGTCCACTGGGGCTACTGAGTGGTGGCTGTAAAGAGTCTCAGTATGTCAATATGGGTCTTACATGGTTGTGGTCAGTGGTAGCAGACCTGGCCCAACTCAGTGAAGACAGGTGCATGAGAAGGTCAGATGGTGCTACTGGGGTTTATTCATTTTGAATAAATAAACTGAAAGCCGGCTTGGCACGGTGGCTCACAGCTGTAATTCCAACTTTGGGAGGCCAAGACAAGAGGTCCGCTTGAGTCCAGGAGTTTGATACCAGACGGGGCAGCATAGTGAGACCTCATCTCTATCAAAAATTAAAAAAAATTAGTCAGGCATGGTGGTGCATGCCTGTAGTTCCAGCTCCTCAGGAGCCTGAGGTGGGAGGAAGGCTTGAGCCCAAGAGTTCAAGACTGCAGTGAGCCATGATCGTGCCTCTGCACTCCAGCCTCGGTGATGGAGAACCTGTCTCTGAAAAAAGAAAAAGAAAAGAAAACAAAACAAAACTGAAAGCTATTCTCCATCTCTTTGTACACATCCTGGATTTCACAGTATCTGAAAGGATTAATACATGTGTCATAAGATAACCATTTTATGTTTGGCTTTTGCTGCATTATTGGCTATACTTTCAGTAAAATGGACATGCTATTCCCTTTATCTTGAATGTTCCCCCACCCTCTCAACTTCCTTGGCCACCTGACTCCCTCCTTTCAAACTCAAGCTTGGGTTTTGTCTTCTCTGGGAAGCAAGTGTCCAGTCCAGTGAATCACACCCTTTTTGGGTGCCTCTTTGTACTATGTACAAATCCTCAAGTGTTACATCCGTTGGGAACCTCATTGGAATTTTAAAATACTAAAATGGTGCTGATTGCATGGGAGCCACTGTTCTAGATACTTTTACATGTATTTACTCATTTAAGCCTCATAACGACCTGATAAGGTCAGTACAGATGTTCTCCCTACATCACAGATGAGAATGATGAAGCCCAGAGAAGTACAGTGTCTTTCCCAAGGTCACATAGTTAATAGCGTCAGAGCTGAGACTCAACTCTGGGTAGCCTGGCTGTAGAATCTCTTTTCATAAGCCGTGTGCAGTGCCATTTCTCCCTGAACTCTGTTGCCTGTAATAGCTAACTTCCATGACTCCCTATCTCCTGATCCCACCCTGTCTTCAGCCAAAGCTGCTCTTCCCACAGGCCTTTTCATCTCAGTTCATGGCAAATCCATCCTTCCAACTGCTCAGGCCCCAAATCTGGGAGTCACCCTTGACTTTTCCTTTGTTGCTATCACATCTTTTATCGGATCCATCTGCAAATCCAGATAGCTCTACCTGCAGCATAGATCTGACAGTTTCCACCACTCCCATCCCTAACCATCTTGGTCTAAGCCACTGCCATGTATGGCCTGGGTTATAACAAGAGACTCCTATTTGGGCTCCCTGCCTCTTTCCTTGTGCCTAGCCTCCCACTCCCCAACCCCATCAAATCTATTCTCAACATAGCAGCCAGGTGATCCTTTTAAGATTTGCCAGAGCATGCCACCTCTGTTCAGTATCTTTCACTGTTTCTGACTTTGTGCTTGCCCCCTTTACTCAACGTAGTCTTTCTTCAAATATCTGCATGGCTCACTCCCTGCTTCTTTCTCTTCTTTACTCAAATGTCACCTATCATGAGATCTCTCCTCACTTCCCCACATAAAATAGCCCCATCCCTGCCCCCGTCGCCTCTGGTCTTCCCTAACCTGCTTAAATTTCTGCCTAGCACTCATATGAGATATGCATTTACTTGTTTATTTGTATATTTCCTGCCCTCTCTCCACTAGAAGGTTAGCTCTATGAGGTCAGGGACTTTGTGTTCTTTGTCCACTACTGTTTCTGCAGTGCTAAGAATAGTGCTTAGCACATAGTAGGTGCTCAGTAAATATTTGAAGAATCAATGAAAACCATTAATGAATGAGTTGAATACTCACTCTGTATTAGTCACTATTATGTTTATTTACCAACATTGTGTCTTCTTATTTTCACAAGATCTCCTAAGACCACCTGGGTGTCTTGGGAAAAATGATTGATCTCTGTTTAGCCTCAGTTTCTTTATCTGTAAAATGAAGATAATAATACTTACCTCTAAGAGTAAATACCTATAAAAAGCTGAGAACAGTGGCTGGCACATGGTACCTGTGCTACCTGGGTTCCCTGGGAAGCAGAGGGAGATTAGCACACTGGATTAATGCTCTGGGGATCAACACCTGTGTGTGGGGGTGGGGTGGTGATGAAAGAAACAGGACTGGCCAGAGAGAGAAGTGGGGCTACAGTCTCAACACTCCAGGGAGTGCTGAAGCTGGAAAGGTTGTAGAGTTGGCCTGAGTTGGGTCAATGGGCCTGGCCTTTTTATCCCCACAGTAATTAGTCATTGGCTTCAGGCTGCTCTGGGAAGAGGTGTGATCTTGGGTAAGGCAAACCCTCTCTTTACTCTCAGGCAATCCCTAGGAAGGACTGACTACCACTCACACTCCCAGCAGCTGGGGAGTGAGGGCTCCAGCCCTAAGGGTGTGTTTGTGGGGCTGGGTAGATATCACAGTAGCCACCAGAGTAAACTTTTTGTAAATGCTTAGGATGACAGTCTTATTACTGCATTATTTAATCCAGCAGTTAGGTGCCTGCCTAAGAACCTCTAGTGAGTCTAGTGCCCATTGAATACAGAACAAATGCCATCCTTTGAGAGTCTTTGCTTTCCTGTAAAGATTTAGGATTGGACTTGAGCTACAAGCCTTTCTCCTTGAGGACTTCCCCAGGTAGGGGCCTGGCCTGGCTGTCCAACTGCATAGTCACCCCTGAGGTGTCCACAGGTTCTATGCCATCCCCTGTGGTCAAGGTGATTCAGAACCAAATGGGGCAAGCCTTTGGAACAGTCGAGGTCAGCAGGCATGAGCCTGGTACCGTTGAAATGAAAAGGCAGGGATTCCCTCTCCACCTGGAATCCTACCATTAGAATCCTGTTATGTATTGAAGCATTTTAAAAAGCATCAAGAATGTTCTATTTAAATGCAAATAACTGTAAAAGTTAACAGCTTAAGCCTTTGTGATGAAATGCCTTTATATCTTTATTCAAACACTATTAAGTTTCTATTTTAAAGTTTTCTAAATGTGGCAATCTTGTTACGGTTTAGCTTGGGTTTCATCTGCTTCGAGTGAAAATAAAAATAATCTGGATTCCTTCATCTGGGCATTTTCTTTGAGAAGAATGGAGGGTACAGTAGAAAAAGCTCTGGAATATGGAGACCTGGAGTCCAGTGTGAGGTCTGTCCTAACAAACGGGGGACTTTTGTCAAGTTCCTGCGTGTTAAATCTGTAAACAAAAGACCATGAGATCTGTGGAGGAAGGGAGAGCTACTGTCTCTCTCTCTCTCCTCCCCTCTCCCCCTCTCTCCCTCTCTCTCTCTGCACAGCCTTTAGTACAAGTTAAAGTGCTTTCAGAAGACCAAAGGGAGAAAATCTGGCTTAAATAGGAAACCTTCTTGCCTAGGTTCTCAATCAGGTCCATTTATGCAAATGAAGGATTCAAACTTGTTCAGTTCTGATCAGTCGAAATAATTGAGCCCTGGTTGGGTGGTTTCCAGGCCCCAAAAGAGAAGTCTCTGTCAGATATTTCTTTCAAACTGCTAGTGGGCTGGGGATGGGAGGCTTCCAACTGCAGTTTACCCTGGCTCTGGTAGGGCGTGCGGGACTGCTCCCTCTGACCCTGCTATGTCCACCCGGTTCGCTTTTAAATTTAGAGCATCTCTGTTAGCCACAGGGAGTCTATCTGGTCTGGAGAGCTTGGGGTCTTAATTTACAGTTTTATTTTACAAATCCAAATTAATTAAAATTTAACTCAGTTCCTTGGTTGCACTAGTCACATTTCAAGTTGTCAATAGCCAACTGCGGCTAGTGCTACTGTAATAGGCAGTGTAGGAACTTCTACTAGATAGCACATGAAGATGATGCCTTTATTTCTTTGTTTAGAATAAAATTTAACCCACATTTGTAATGAGTTGAGAGTTGATAATAGTAGGTAGTTTTTTTTTGAGATTTACACACATCCACCAGTGCTTATCTGGCCACTTATTTCTTTTCTTCTTCTTCTTCTTTTTTTTTTTTTTTTTTGAGACAGAATCTCATTCTGTTGTCTATACTAGAGCATAGTGGCTCGGTCACAGCTCACTGTAGCCTTGAACCTCCTGGGCTCAAGTGATCCTCCCACCTCAGCCTCCTGAGTAGCTGAGACTACAGACATGAGTCACCATGCCCGGCTAATTTTTAAATTTTTTGTAGAGATGAAGTCTTGCTATGTTGTCCAGACTGGTCTCAACCTCCTGGGCCAAGTAATCCGCTCACCTCGCCTCCCAAAGTGCTGGGATTACAGGTGTGAGCCAATGCACCTGGCCCACGTACTTTCTTCTATTTCTTACCACCACCTTGTGAGCTAATTTTTACAGATGGGAAAACTGAGACTGAGAGAGCGTAGAAAACAGGTTGAAAGACCTAACTTGCATGAGGTCTTTGCTTGCATTCAAATCCAGGTTGATCTGATGCTGAAGCCTGAGCTGCTGTTTTTGTTTTCTGAAATAAGCATGTGTTAAAAGATTACAGACTCACTGTTATTTAGAAAGAAGTTTATCCATCCTTATTTCTGCTGCTGTTTTTCCTCTTTTGTCTCATTTTCTTCTAGAAAGCTTTGTTGACTTGGTAAAATGCACGTGATTCCTTTCTCTAGTGTCAACCTAAAATAACCAAAAAGCTCAGGATCCAGTTAAAAGAGTTTATTCAAGCGTGAAGTGTGAGGGCCGACATCAGGGAAGCAGAGCTACACCAAAGAATGGTGATCAGTGCTCCCAGTGTGGGGAAAAATGAGGACCATTTATCTAGGCAAAAATGGAGGTGCTGAATAGGATAACATTTCTTTTTTTTTTTTTTAAACACAGGGTCTCACTCTGTTGCCCAGGCTGGAGTACAGTGGTGATCTCGGTACACTGCAGCCTCTGCCTCCTGAGTTCAAGTGATTTTCCTGCCTCAGCCACCTGAGTAGCTGGGATTACAGGTGTGCACCACCATGCCCGGCTAATATTTGTATTTTTAGTAGAGATGGGGTTTCATCATGTTGGCCAGACTGGTCTCGAACTCTTGATATCAAGTGATCCACCCACCTCGGCCTCCCAAAGTGCTTGGATTACAGGTGTGAGCCACCACGCCCTGCCCAGGATAACAACATTTTCATACAAAGTCTAATGTAGATGTAAGATTTGATTGGCTACTATTGGTTATACTCTAAAGGGATTGCTTAACATTTTATTGCAAAGAGTCAAAAATCAGAAGGGTGTCTATCTCCAATATCATTTAGTCTAGGTTTGAATAAAGAATAGAGAGTTCAGTTAATGTATAAAATCTCAACCCAAAGGTCAGAAAGCAGCAGTCACGCACTGGAGGAGAAAAACAGCTGTGTTAGGTGAGTCAGTTTCCAGGGCTTAACTTTTCCCCTTGGCATGATACATATGGGAGGTCCTGAAATTTTAATATCTTTTTACACCAGAAACAACTACTGTTTTTGTTGTTGTGGTGGTGGTGGTTGTGGGTGGTTGTTTGTTTTTGAGACAGGGTCTTCCTCTGTTGCCCTGGCTGGAGTACAGTGGTGCAATCCTAGCTCACTGCTGCCTTGAAATCCTGGGCTCAAGCAATCCTCCTGCCTCACCCTTCTGAGTAGCTGGGACTACAGGCACATGCCACCATGCCTGGCTTTTTTTTTTTTTTTTTTTTTTCAGATACAGGTTCTCTTTGTGTAGCCCAGGCTGTTCTTGAACTCCTGGGCTCAAGTGATCCACCTGCCTTGGCCTCCCAAAGTGCTGGGATTACAGGCGTGAGCCACCGTGCCCAGCCGATGACTACTGTATTTAGTTAAGGAAGCTCCCCCTTCCAGCAGGTTCTCCATGTATACAGCCATGTGTATGGCATTGTCATACATGGGTGATGTGCTCATCCACATGGGGCTGCTCTTCAGAGGCCTGACTGTGGTTTCTATTTTGAATTTCAGTTCAGTAAAAGTCAGAAACCTCTTCAGGAATTTCTTTGGATTAGAATCAGATTAAAAACTTGCAGTTTGCTTGGGATTTGAGGAAGCCCATCCATCTGGGGAGGTTGTGGGCAATGCCTGCTTGGAAGCTAATAGTCATAAAAATGTTTTGAATGAGTGGGGTTTGGGGTGGGTGTCCATTAAAAGGATAATGGAGTTATCTTCTGGTTTGTTAGCTGGTATACTCATAGGATATAAATGTTCGACCTAGTACCTGTTATGTTTTCCCTTGACTTGATTATATTATATGACATAAAAGAGCATATTTAAATTTCAGGTGTTTAGGAGGGGAAATGTGTCCCCTGATCAACAGAGAAGTTTGAAGGCTGATGTTCGATGTTAGGATCTTTTATTTGGACACATCATCCCAAATAGAAAAGCAGATTGATGCAACCCTAAGTATATGCATTTTCCAGAGAGGCTTGAGAGAGTGAGAAGGGAGAGTTTTGGTTGAGACTGAGGGCAAGATGAAAGATGTGAAATGGGATTGTGAGCAATTTCCTTTAAAAAAATTTTTTTTTTGAGTCACCCAGGCTGGAGTGCAGAAGCATGAGATCCTAGCTCTCACTGCAGTCTTCCCGGGCTCCAGTGATCCTCCCTCCTCAGCCTCCCAAATAGCTGGGACTACAGGCACACGCCATTATGCCTGGCTTTTTTTTTTTTTTTTTTTGAGAGACGGGGTCTCACCATGTTGCTCAGGTTGATCTTGAACTTCTGAGTTCAAGCGATCCTCTTACCTTGGCCTCCCAAAGTGCTGGGATTACAGGTGTGAGTCACTGTGCCTGGTCTTAAAACAATGTTTTTTTTCTGTCGGATATCTAAAAAGGTGGGACTGAAGAATACCTTTGTGGTAGGCATTCTGTGTTAAGAGCAAAAAACTGGCTCAGGAAGGACTCTTTCTAATTCCTATACCTGAAAAAGGCCTGTGTGTGTGGTCTGTGTGGTCCCCACCAAGGAAACAATTTGTTCGCCGGCATACCAAGGGTCAATTTATCGGGGGCAATATCCACCAAGTCTGTTTGGTCAGCTTGATGTTGTAGGGAAGAAAAATAATTTCTTTTCCTCACCTATCACAAGGTTCATGGCTGACACCCCATAACCAAAGACAGAATAACAAAATAAAAGCATACCAACTTATTTAACGTAAGTTTTATGTGACACAGGAACCTTCAGAAATCATGACCCAGAGAAACAAGGGAATCTGTGTATTTTTATGGACAGTCATGCAGAAGTATGATTGGAGGGCAAAAGAGCATGCTCTATTGGTAATAAACTGGGGAGGAACTTAACAAGGCCTGTTCAGTTTCTTCTTGACAACCTATGTGACAATTCTCCCTCTCAGGTATAGGGCAGGATACCTGTCACAGGAGGGCCTTCAGGGGAGAAGTGAGGAAGAAGGTCAGAGAGTGACTTTCCCAGGTTTTATCGCCTGCATCAGGGAAGAAGGGGCAAGTGGAATTCTAGTGTCTGTGGCCCACTTCAGGGGAGAAGGGGGTCAGAGAAGGCAGAGAGGCCTTCCTACTTCTGCTGTTTTCTCAATTTCCAAGGTGCCATATTTTTGGGTAACATTTTCTGCACCCCATCAATATCGACAGTCTCACCCGCGTCTGTGATCTCAGTGGAAACAGCTGGAGCTTTCACGATGTAGTAGAAACCTAGCGGTGTCTGAGCAGCTGGTTTCAAATTCCCCAGCAGATACCACTAAGCCCTCTGCATTTTGCAAAAACTGGTGTGTCTATACCTCTATTTATATGCACAACAGCTTGCAGATAACCTCTTTTTTCTTATATCTCTCGGGGAATCATTGCTTTGTGATTTATGATGAAGAGAAAAGTGTTTTCCCCCCACCCTTGAAAATAAAACAACATGATGTTAGTTGATTTCAGAGGTGAAAGTTGCTAAAGATCATTTTGCTAATGACAGTTTCATATTCATGGAACACAGAAAACATCATGTATTTGGTTTCAAGACTCCGGATGACAGCAGCAGGCAGCTCTGGGGGTGGACCCTGGATGATGCCTGATGCAGGAATTGTCCTTCATGCAGCATGTTGCAGTGATGTGCCATCTGTTTCTAGGATGAGTCTAGTAGCTATTGAAGAGCCTACAACAATATTCCTGCCAGGTCTTCTCAAAAATTCATCTTTCCCCCTCCTTGTATATGACAACCCTCTATGTAAGAAAGCAATTTAGCAATAGGAGGGCAATGAAGATGCATCTTTTAAAAAAATGATCTTCTCCCTGTCACCCAGCTGGGTGGCTCACTCACACTCATCTCCTTCTTCTGCTCCATTCAGGACTCCAAAACATAACAGTGTTGGAGTTCATTTCAGTATCCACGGACAGTTTAAATGATGCCACAATGGATTACGTGGGTTTCCACTATTCTTGGCTTCAGTTGTGCAGGAATGCAATCTTCTTCTTTTTCTTTGGTAATAATTTATTTATTATGTACCTGTCAGTGCCAGGTCCTGCTTCCTGCTACATAGGTGACAGAAGAGTCAGAGATAGACTCTGTCCTCAAGTTGCTTGCCAGTTAGCCATCAGTTACAATGAGTGACTGTGGCAGTACTGTTTTTTGTTTTTTTTTTTTTTTTTTTTTTTTTGAGACAGAGTCTTGCTCTGTTGCCCAGGCTGGAGTGCAGTGGCATGATCTCAGTTCACTGCAACCTCTGCCTCCCAGGTTCAAGTGATCCTCCTGCCTCAGCCTCCCAACTAGCTGGGATTAGAGGCATGTGCCACCATGCCCAGCTAATTTTTGTATTTTTAGTAGAGACAGGGTTTCAGCATGCTGGCCAGGCTGGTCTTGAACTCCTGACCTCAGGTGATGCCCCCACCTCGGCCTCCCAAAGTGCTGGGATTAGAGGTGTGAGCCACTGCGCCTGGCTGGCAGTACTAGTTTTGATGGCTTAAGCAGAGTTTTCGAGTGTTGACATTATTTGGAATCTTTCCTTGCCAAATATGTAGGAGTAATTTGAATAGGAAAGCCAAACAGTTGAAAAGGCATGTTGAGGAATTTCATCACACTATTAGCTGAGCTTGTCAGGTGCCAGACTGAGATAATATGTGATATTCTGTAATATATGGGGAAGCCCAGATATGACTGCAGAGACAGCCAGGTAGAGACCTGGGTTTGAATCTAGCTCTGCCTCTCTCCAGGGGTATGACGTTGGGCAAATCTCTTGGCCTTTCTCAGCTCCTGTTACCTAAACCCAAATTCTCAGGTCTTTGAAAGAATTAAATGAGATCGTGAGTGAGAAGCTCCTGACATAAACTACAAGTTCATTAAAGGTTTTCTTCCTTTCCCCTTATCTTTCTTCGTTACTCCAGGATTTGGAGCAGAGCCCAGAACTGCACAAAACACTAGGCTTTAGCACTAAATATGTTTGCATTCCTGGCAACACATTACCCTTTTCTAATTACAAAGTTTATAATTTGCCTAAGCTGAATTGGGGAAGAGAATGGGGAGATGGAGGGGGACTAATTATAGAGCAGGGATCTGTTGGAGTGGGGCTTGTGAGTGTCCAGGCAGGAGAGAACCACAGGGCCAATGACACCCGGGGGCTGAGTCTATGGCAGGATAATTAGGAGATGGAGATAGGAATTGGAACACAGTGAGGTGAATTTAAACAAAAATTATTATTTCGGGTAACTAGATGGGACTGCAAGATAATCTGTGAGGCCACTACTGATAATTTCCCCAGTGAGAAATGATGGGGAGGTTTCCAGAGGCTGGGAGAGCTGTAGACTGACAGTCTATGAGGTGGAGCCGTAACTGGGCAGCAGGGACCGGGGTCCCGAACCAAGCAGGAGGTGGTAAGTAGTTCGGTCTAAGCTGCGGAGAGTACAGATGGCAGGCAATCCTAGAGGACAGGGAATTTCCACGGCTGGGTTATTGCAAGGCTAGACTGCAGCAAAGGGCAGGGTAGTTTCAAGAAAGGCTAAAGTCAGAGCAGAGGCAAATTGAGACATAAAGAGGTGGTTTTTCTAGCCTGCCAGCTGCTCTCAGACTTGCATCTGGGGTGTGTTGGGGAATGATCCTGGATCCTCCTTGATATCATCCCTTCTAGCCTGCCCATCTCCCAGCCTCCCTTAACCTCGGTAACTCCTACATCTGTATCCACAAAGTTTCTTGAGTCTTTTAGGAAGAGATCAAATTTCCAGCCAGTGTCCCCTATTGGAGCAATGCATCTCCTCAGTTTCATGCCAGCTTTGAGTTTTTACTGGTTTTGATATGCCTCCAAAGGTTCAAACGAACCAGAAGCTAGAGAATATCTTATGTGTGAAGAGAGAGCCCTTTCTTTATAGAAAGTCTACTGTTCTTAGGCTTATTAAAATATCTGTTCACTGGACTGTACGGGACATGAGGGCAGGAGCTTGTTTTATTCTCCTGGGTGCTCCCAGCGCCTGGCATAGGCCCTCCAGGCAGTAGGTGCCCCTGAAGTGTTGGAGGAATCAATGCCTGCCATTGATGAAGACAGTGAAGTAAGGCCACACCCCTAGGGAGGGACGACCAGAAAAGGAGAAAATGAAGTTGGAGAGGTGGGCAGGGTGTCATTCAGCAAGGGTCCTGTATGGCCAAATCAACGGCAGTAGTTTCGAAGCCGCTAAGAGAGTTTAGGCCATGAGGCGGGGGCTGATGGTGTCAGGGAACTGAGGTGAGAGCTGTGCTAAGGCAGTGCCAGTGGAATGGAGTGAAGGGCTCATTCCCAGAACTTCCTTCCTTGCTAGTCTCAGAATTTAAAAGCTAGAAGTGTCAGCAGGCAGAGTTTGTCAACCTCATGAGAAGGGGATCATGGGTGTGTGGCCTTCTCTTTGATGACTCATTTGATGATAGCCATGGCAGTCTTCAGGATCACACTCAATTCTGCCATTGGCTTAGTGGCTTAAACTCTTCTTCTTCTCCTTCTTCTTCCATCTTCTTCCTCCTCTTCCTCTTCCTCCGCTGCTGCTGCTGCTGCTTCTTCTTCTTCCTTTTTTTTTTTTTTTTGTTGGAGTCTCGCTCTGTCGCCCAGGCTGGAGTACAGTGGCGCAGTCTCGGCTCACTGCAACCTCTGCCTTCCGGGTTCAAGCAATTCTTCTGCCTCAGCCTCCTGAGTAGCTGGAATTACAGGTGCCCACCACCACACCCAGCTAATTTTTGTATTTTTAGTAGAGACAGGGTTTCACCATATTGGCTAGGCTGGTCTCAAACTCCTGACCTCATAATCCACCCGCCTCAGCCTCCCAAAGTGCTGGGATTACAGGCATGAGCCACCTCGCCTGGGCTTTTTTTTTTTTTTTTTTTTTTGAGTTGGAGGTCTCACTGTGTTGCCCAAGCTGGTCTCGAACTCCTGGCCTCTAGAGATCCTCCCGCATCAGCCTCCCAAAGTGCAGGGATTATAGGCGTGTGCCACTGCACCCAGATGTTCAGTATTTTTAAACTAGACTTTCAGCCAGAAGAATTATTTTTGAATCAACTCTACTGTGAGAAAAAAAAATGCATGTTGAAATGCCCACCAGGTTATAACATCTCTTCTTTGCTCTGGGAGATTGAAGTGCATCAGAAATATGACCTGTTTCTAGATGCTCTCTTAGATAAACCTATGTTGTGTGCCATGAGCCTCCAGGTAGATTTGTGCAACAGCAGAGGCTTCCATTTCAATAGCTCTGACTTTTCTTTCCAAAGAAATATTGCTTCTCAGGAAAAACAAAAGCAAGAATGAAAACTCTCCAGAAAACTTGCTCTCTTTCTTCCTTGGGCTTACCCCAAATCTATCTCTGTGGGCTTCACTTTTCAAGTTTTAGGTGTCAATTAGCCGGCCCTCTGTTGTTACTGAAGCTCCTTTCCAACCTGGCCCTACCTTCCTTCCTACCTATGTCTGCTGCCTTCCCACTAAAGTCCCTGTGTGCTCCTGCTAGAGTCACTGGCCCCCATGTGAGTCCCATCATTAGGTAACTTGACAGGACTCAAGTTTGCTAAGATTCACTGTTTAATTCTGTCAGTCTTAGCATTTACTTAGGGCACACGTGTTCCTGCGTCATCATACAGGGATATGTTCAGTTGTTGCTTACAGTAAGTGCTCTTTGTTGGGTGTATTTAATGGCAAGGTAAAGTGGAATTGTAGAGGGATGTTCTGGTAGAGAATAAAGGAAGCTGGCTGGCCACGGTGGCTCACTCCTGTAGTCCCAGCACTTTGGGAGGCCGAGGTAGGAGAATCGCTTGAGCCCAGGAGTTTGAGACCAGCCTGGGAAACACAGTGAGACCCTGTCTCTATAAAAAAATTTTTAAAAAATAAGAAAAAGAAAAAAATATTTTAAAAAAGAAAGTGACTTTAAAAAGAGAAGCTGAGCACGGTGGCTCATGTCTGTAATCCCAGCACTAAGGTAGCCCGAGGCAAGGGGATCACTTGAGGCCAGGAGTTTGAGACCAGCCTGGCCAACATGGTGAAACCCTGTCTCTACTAAAAAAAAAAAAAAAAATACGAAAATTAGCTGGGCATGGTGGCTCACACCTGTAATCCCAGCTGCTTGGGAGGCTGAGGCAAGAGAATCACTTGAACCTGGGAGGTGGAGGTTGCAGTGAACTGAGATCGTGCCACTGCACTCCAGCCTGGGTGGTGGAGTGAGACCCTGTCTCAGAAAAATAAATAAACAAAAATAAAAAATAGGAAAGAGAGAGAATAGAGGAAGTCAGGATGCCAAGGCTGGGCTCTAAGTTGGCTTCCCAATAGGACCAATAGACTCATGGGCACATTTAACTTTTCCTCAAGCTGGTGTTACTTTCCAGTGAGATACCTATCTGGCAGTGGGAGATGCAGTTAGGGTGTAGCAGAGGCAGTTTGGTATAGCAGGTGAGTTTGAATCCTGACTCTTGAACTTACTAGCTGTGTGACCTTGGCAAGTGACTTAACCTCTCTGAGCCTTAGTTATCTATGGAATACAAAGGTAAAGGTATGTATCTCCTTGTGTTGTAAAGTTGAAATGAGATGATAAATTTAAAGTGCTCAACTCAGAACGTGCTACTTTCTCTCCACCTCGAAGGCAGCACTTCCTGTCTGGGTGGTCTTTGCCAAATGTCCATAATTCATCTGTAAAAATTTTTACCATGTCCCTGGCAAAGATCATATACCACCTCCTGTACTCCTCTTACTTAATTTTAAAAATTCAGGTCATTTTTACTAACTGACTGCATTCATTTAGTAAAGATACTATACCACTCCTATAAATATAGGGTTACTATAAAAAAAGACAGTAAAAATAATACAGTGTTATGTTATTGATGGTAGCCAGATACTATTCCCTTTAAAGGCTCTGAACCTGAGTCTTGTTTTCATTTCATTCAAAAGGATAATTAACAAGTTAGCAAGGAAGTGGTAGAGCTGTGCTGGCCCCCAAAAGGAGGCTTTTTCCTTGACAATCAAAAGGGATTGAAAGAACCCTGAAAATGGAATCACCATTTCTCTATGTGATTCAGTGTTATTGAATGGTATGTTCAAACACCTTTTGAAGTCATGTCAGATACCATCAAAGGTAGCATCTTCCACTTTGGGAAACACTTAACTTGGAAATCAGTCATATGGGAACAAAATATCAGCTCATGACTACTGGGAAGTGGACCGGTTCCGGATCTCTAGAGGAGGGAGCTGGCATGGACTGGTGGAGTGGGGTAGTGGTGACCCCAACCTGGGGATGAGGATTCAGGGCAGGGTTCCAGCAGAGTGGAAGTGCTAAAAAACCAGAGGGTCTCACCCAAGAAGGCCTCAGATTTGCTGCTTGTGGAGTGAGGTTAAGGGTCTCGTTGTCCTTTAGAGTGTGGTATGCATCTCTGCAGGAATTAGGGAATACCTAGGAAGGCATATCTGTGTGTGTGTTTATATAACAATAGCTATTTTTATTGAGCTCTTTCTTGGTGATGGACACTGTGCCAAACATTTTGAAAATGTTAACTCATTTAATTCTCATAACAATGCAATGAATAGGAATCCTTATTATCCTCATTTCACACATGAAGAAACTGAAGCTTAAGGTTCAGAAACCTGCTCTGATTCACAGAACTTGCGAATGGCAGAGCTGGTATCTGTAAAGAAATGCAGTGGGCAAGAATTCGCTTTACAACAGCCACTGTATGGCAAGAAATATCATTAACAATTGTTTTCCCGATGAAATCAAAACGAAGTAGGATTGGCAAGCTGCCCATAATTGGTCTTTGTTAGGGCTTCCTTCCCCATTCCACTGGCTCACTTATTTAAGTGTTCCCCAAACAGTTGTGGGGGGTGTGCTTGACTCCTTAGTCCATGGCTATAGCCACAGTGGTTCTCCTCGTTCTTTCTGCTCCTCAATGCTGCCTTCAGGAGCAAGCCTTCTGCCATCTGCCAGGCAGTTCTGTTTTGGATAAACTACAAGAGACGCTGCTCAGTGATTCTTGATTCTGTTTACCAGTCGTACTGCAGGCTGGGACCATTGTTGCTGACCCCAGGGCTGCAGGGTAAACGGCCTTCGCAGGCATCCCATAGCTATCCCACATCCGGAGCGCTGCCTGCAGGAGGGACAGGTTCTGTCTCCTCTTGGAGAGCTCACATTCCTTCGTCCAGGAGTCTTTGTCCTTGTGGTTGGGCATCTCCACAAGTCCAAGCACCAGCCCCTCATCCCCTTCCCTACCAGCTTAGCTCCTGCAAAGAGCTAATTAACTCTCTGAAGGCTTGGGTGAGGTCTTCTTTGGCCTTGCACTTGAATCACAATGAAACTGTTTCCTGGGGTAAGAACTTAGGCCAGAGGTTCTTGACTTTGAGTGAGCACAAAAATTACCCTGGGAGCTTGGAGATAAAGTGGATTTCCCTCCTCCTTCTGTTTTAGCAGTTTTGGAATGGGAGCCAGGCGTCTGCATTTAGCTAACACCAGGTGATTCTCTCCTGCAGGTGGTTTAAGGATCACACTAGAAAACAAATACGGGCTAGGTTTTGGAACACAGAGGAACAGAGAGAGAGAGAAAATACACTTTTCAGGGGGGAATTGGCAAACATTAACATCTTAACTGATCATCCTGCCAGAAATATTTGCATAGTATAAATACATATTCATATAATATTATGGATACTATTAGTATAACCATAAATACATGATCTACCTAGCATTTTTACCTGGTATTATAGTGTCATCATTTTCTCTTTTTTTCTTAAAAAGTCATTCAAAAACATGTTTCTTATATTCCCATAAGATTTAGCTGTATAAATATCTTAATATTTATTTACCTAACCCTTGTTATGTGACGTATGGCTTGTTTTCAAGGGTTGATGTAATAAATAATGTTTTGATAAACATACTTCTCCATAAATTATTGTTCTGCATTTGTATTTAAAACTAAAAACCATTATGAAAATTCAGACTAAGTCTGATGTTACTTTGAAGTATTTGGTATTACTTTAAAGTATTTGTTTTTTTCTCCAGCAAAAAAATTCGCAGGGTTTGGTTCTTATTTCATAACCAATTGTTTCTCCCACCTTGAAAACTAGCTTTCTGTTTTAACAAAATAGAAAATAGATGGATGATTCAGCTTAGAAGAAAGAAGTATTTTTAATATAATACTCATGAACCAACACTGTTGTAAGTGGGGCGAGTGCAGCAATTGTTGGAAGCCTCAAAGAACACTGTCTCCCATGCCAGCCAAATAAGCCCTGGTATTTTCAGCCCACGGGTTGATGTAATCTACCCCAGAAACATCAAGCAGGGTATTTCAGGAAGCATCACAGGTGGTTAAAACATATTTTATGGTCAGAAAGTTGATAACAAGTAACTCAAGCAGTCAGTCGGTAGAACCACTGCACCCCCAGCAATCTTAGCTGGGAACTTGTGGATGTAAATAGAAGGACTACAGGCAAGTGAGAAAGTAAATGGCTCTGTGTGTGTCCAAAGAACTGAACTTTTAATTTAACTTGTACATTTTCTTTCTTTTCTTTTTTTTTTGTTTTTTTGTTTTTTGAGATGGAGTCTTGCTGTGTTGCCCAGGCTGGAGTGCAATGGTGTGATCTCGGCTCGTGGCAACCTCCACCTCCCAGGTTCAAGTGATTCTCCTGCCTCAGCCTCCTGAGTAGCTGAGACTACAGGCATGTGCCACCACGCCCAGCTAATTTTTATTTTTAGTAGAGACGGGGTTTCTCCATGTTGGTCAGGCTGGTCTCGAACTTCCAACCTCAGGTGATCTGCCCGCCTCGGCCTCCCAAAGTGCTAGCCACTGTACCTGGCAATTTAACTTGTATTTTTTTTTTTTTAACAAAAGTAAAGCATAGCATTAAACCAGTTCATCTATTTATTCAAGGCAGGGACATTCTGTCTCATGGGCCATTTTCAACATCAGCAAGGCACTGAATAACTACCTTTTTTTTTTTTTTTTTTTGAGACCGAGCCTTGCTCTGTTGCCCAGGCTGGAATACAGTGGCACGATCTCAGCTCACTGCAACCTCTGCCTCCCAGGTTCAAGTGATTCTCCTGCCTCAGCATCCTGAATAGCTGGGATTACAGGTGTGTGCCACCACGCTCGGCTAATTAGTGGGGATGGGGTTTCGCCATGTTGGCCAGGCTGGCCTTGAACTCCTGACCTCAGATGATCTGCCCGCCTCAGCATCCCAAAGTGCTGGGATTCCAGGTGTGAGCCACCGCGCCTGGCCCTGAATAACTATTAACTGTGTTCATTAAGCAAACATTTTTTGAGAATCTTCTATGTTCAAGACTGTTTGGTTTTGGTGATTCAAAGATAAGTAAAATTCAGTGCTTTATCTATCTTGGACCTGCCCACAATCTCCTGGCAGAGAGAAACACATAAACAAAGAGACACCAATAATTCCAGTATAATATGATAATAGAAATATGTGTGCAATGCTATGGGACCTCTTGGAGTAATTCTGAACGTTTGGGGGGAGGGGGAAGGGATAGCATTAGGAGATATACCTAATGTAAGTGACGAGTTAATGGGTGCAGCACACCAACATGGCACATGTATACATATGTAACAAACCTGCATGTTGTGCACATGTACCCTAGAACTTAAAGTATAATAATAATAAAAAAGAATAAACAGCCACCAAACTGCCAAAACAAATGGCTAATCAGCTTGTAAATGTTGCTCTTAACTTGAAAGAGACATTATCCTGTCATATTCTAATGTAATAATAATTCTGTTATTATATATTACTTAGATGCTTCAAAGCATTTTCACAGATACATGAGAAAATATTGAGTCAGATGGCTAGACACGGTCTTAGAAATCGTCCAGAACAATCCCTCGCTTGAGAGGCGAGGAGCTGAGAACCCCAGAAGGTGAGTGACTTCATTCATGCTCCCTCAATGCCTTTATGGCAGGGATGGGACTATGATTCAGGTCCTGTCTCCAGTAGTCCAGTGGACTTTCTCTAACACAAAAGACTATTTTGTACGGAGTCCCATGCCCTCACTCAGTACTCACTATTGCTATGACCATCTCAATTAGGATGGGAACTAAAGTAAAAGGTATTCTTTCTTATCGTTGCTAGGATAGTGGCTGAGACCCCTATAATGAAAGACAGATTAACAAGAGAAAAGCACACAAATTTATTTAATATAAGTTTTATGTGACATGGGAGCCTTCAGAAATGAAGACTCTCCAAAAAAACAGGAGAACTGTTTATTGTTCTGGACAGTTGTGCAGCAATATGATTGGAGGACAAAAGGGCATGGTCTCATGAGAATGAGCTGGGGGAATTTACCAAGGCCTGTCTGCTCAGTTTCATCTCTGTGTCCCTGTGTCTTCAGAGATAAGGATATTCTTTTCCTGTGGGTATAGGGTGGGCACTTCTGGAATGAAGATTTTATGACCTACTTTAGAGGAAAGTCAGAACACATTTTTACAATCTGCTTCAGGGGAGAAGGGGAAGGGGAAGGACAGAAAGCCCCTCCTGCTTCTGCTGTTTTCTCAAATGCCAAGGTGCCAAATTTTGGGGGAGTGTGTCTGGAACCTCACCCCTTTCCACAAAGCTGACACATATGAATATCTCATTAGTACCCGTCTGAGTGTGTTGACTCTTCTCTTTCTTTATATAAAATAGAATTACAATAAGGTTCTCAAATAACATTTTCTCGGGCTTTGTCCCTATAATGCCTCAGTGTCCACCAAATTCCTGCCAAATAGTTCCAGGAGTACCCAAGGGTATCCAGTCCTTCTAAGCATGGGATGTCTGCCATTTTCTTCTTCTGCCCTGACTCACTGGGGTGAATCTCTTGCCAAAACTGACTGCAAGTGAAGTCACAGATGCTACCGACTCCTGCTAAAGGGACCACCAGATGTGCTCAGCTCTCTATGGGTGGGCCCTGAGGATACTGGTATCTGGTATCTTGGCTAAGGGGACCATCTTTTGTTATTGTTCACAGCAGAGTTGCTATATTTTGGGCTTGCTTTCTTTCTTCTTTTTTTTTAATACATGGTCTTTCTCTGTCACCCAGGCTGGAGTGCAGTGGCATGCTCACAGCTCACTGCAACCTCCGCCTCCCGGGTTCAAGCCACTCAAGCCATCCTCCCTGCCTCAGCCTCCCTAGTAGCTGGCACTACAGGTGTGCACCATCACACCCAGCTAATTTTTGTACGATTTTCAGAGATGGGCTTTCTCCATGTTGCCCAGGCTTGTCTCAAACTCCTGGTCTCAGGTGATCCACCCAACTTGGCCTCCCAAAGTGCTGAGAGTACAGACATGAGCCACTGCACCTGGGCACATTCTGGGCTCTTGATACACCATCAAGATTGGACAGAGCCTGGTGAAGAGGTTCAGAATTATCCTTCCTTTCAGCAGTAATCCACCGGGCTTATGACCAAGATGTGCTCTGCAATTCTCTCTTCCAATAGGAAGCTCTTGGTCCCTCATGCAAATAGACTCCAGGATGCTTGCCAAATGGGTTTTTAAGACATGACAAAATCCTGGGATGAATGGAGCTTAGATTCTAGTGAAAAAAAATCTTTATTTAGAGCAGCCTATATTCCATGGATGTTAATGAGGATTCCAAGGAAAAAGAAGCCCATGATAGTGGGAAACACTGATTTTAATAGGTTAAATATTTTTTTGGGGGTGGGGCAGCAGCTTTATTGAGGTATATTTTATATACCATAAAATCCACTCATTGTAAGTGTTCAATTTGATGATTTTTAGTAAATTCATAGAATTGTACAATCATCACTATAATCCAGTTTTAGGACATTCCCATCAACACCCTCCCCACACCCCTGAATTTCCTCAAGTTTACTTACAATCATTCCCCACTGTCACCCACAGCTCTGGGCAACCACTAATCTACTTTCTTTCTATGGATTTGCATATTCTGGATATTTCATCTAAATGGAATCATACAACACGTGGTCTTTTGTGTTTAGCTTCTTTCATTTGACGTAATGTTCACCCAGGTTATAGTTTGTATCAGTAATTTGTTTCTTTTTTATTGCTAATCAGTGTTTCATTGCACTGCACTTGGTTTATCCATTCATCAGCTGGTGGACATTTGTACTGTTCCCAGTTTGGGGCAATTATAATGTTGCTATTAACATTTGTGTCCAAGTCTTTGTGTGGGCATATATTTTTATTTATCTTGGGTAGATTCTCAGAATGGAACTGCTGGGTTATTTGGTAAGTGTATGTTTGACATTTTAAGAAACTGACGAACTAGCTTCCAAAGGCTATTTTACATGCCCACTGTCAGTTTCTGAGGGTTCCAGTTCATCACATTCTAGCCAACACTTGCTATTGTCTGTCTGTTGATTAGAGCTATTCTAATGGATGTGTAGTGATATCTTACTGTGGGGTCAAGCAGGTTTTTGTTCAGGTCTTCTCATAGCCTTTAATATAGCAATGTGCATTGTGCATTTCTGAAAGAGAATAGTGAATAGAAGATGCAGTGTTTCCCAAACTTACTTGCTCTTGGAATTCTATTTTTCACTGAAAGGAGAATATTAAAAGCCTAATGCTCTACAGAACAGATTTTGGGAAGCATTACATCATTTGATTGTAATATTTTTAACTTTGTTTTCTGTGATATTTAGTAATAAGCAAGAGTTTGCTGCACAATGATTTTGAGTCATATAGCATAGATGCGGAGGCTAATAGAATGTAAAAGTTAAAGGAGGATGCTTAAGAGGTTAGCAGCATGGGAGGTAGTTGTTTTTAGGAGTAACTCAATATTTGTTTGTTTTTCTCTGTATGTGGTTTCCTAGCCCAGCCCTGATGGGCCCCAAATCTCATGGGGCATGAGGCTAGGCTCAAGCTTAGAACTTGGCTACATTTTAATTGTCAATACTTAGATAATAATCATAATTTTTATTTTTCATGTTTATTATTTTATTTTATTTTATTTTTTTGAGACAGGGGTCTCTCTCTTTCACCCAGGCTGGAGGGCAGTGACATGATCTTGGCTCACTGCAACCTCCGCCTCCTGGGATCAAGTGATCTTCCTTCCTCTGCCTCCTGAGGAGCTGGGATTACAGGTGTGTGCAACCATGCCTGGCTGACTTTTTGTATTTTTTTGTAGAGACAGGATTTCACCATGTTGCTCAGGCTGGTCTCAAACTCCTGGAATCAAGCAATCCTCCCACCTCAGCCTCCTAAAATACTGGGATTACAGGTGTGAGCCCTCATGCCCAGACAATAATTATGATGACCACAACAATAATAGCTATTAGATCGGATTTAAATTGATCACATCTGTACCAGACACTGTGCTGAGCACTCTTCATGGATGATCTCAACTGAATTCTCACAATGACCCTACTATAACCATTTTACAGATGAGGAAACTGGGGCACAGAGCAGTTAATAGCTTGCACGCAGGTAGTAGATGTGGCAGAGTCAGGATTGGAACCTGGACCCTCTAAGACCAGAGTCACTGTTGTACATCCCATAATCATACCAAAATGGTGGATCAGCCTGAAAAAATATTTTTTTTAAATCTTAATTACACAGGAATTATAGGATGCTGGAAAGGTTTCCAGTCCAGAATTTGGCTCCTTAGGGTCATCATTGTTCTAGTCACTCTCGGCCTTTCCTTCTCACCTGATAGGAAATGCACCACTTGTTCTCCTGTGGGAGTCCCCTTGTGTCTGTCCTTCCAGCCCCATGGCCACCACCTTTGTCCAGGCCTCACCTCACCTGTGGACTATTACCAAGCATGTGCGCACACACACACACACACACACACACACACACACGTGCATACATGAAAGCTTCTACCTGGTTTCATTGCCGTTAGATTTTTTATTAAAAACCAGGACCACATCCCCACCAGGAGGACCTTTCCAGAGCCCTGCCCTGCTGCACTGCACTGCTGTGTCCAGTTTAACAACCTTCACTGGCTCTCTTTTCTCAAAGAAAATTTCAAACCCTGAGCAGGGTATTCAGACTTGACTTCTGTTTCCTTCCGCATCATGTCTCCCATAACCTCCCACTCTTGGATCAACTGCTGTAGGCCACCTGGTCTCTTCATTCTGCCAAGACAAGCAAAGCCATCCTGCCTCCATGCCTCTGCATAGCCTTGTCCTCCAGCCTGCAGTGCCTTCCTCTCCATTGTTTGTTTCTCTGAGCCCTTTCCTGCCTTTGGACGTCCCCACTACCTCTAGGATACTATTTCAGCAGATCCCAGCCCCTAGGATCCCTCCTTCCTTTGGAACCCCTTGGAGAACAAATATTTGTGGCCCTGTGTCGTCTATCTAAGTTCTTCAGCCTCAGTCTTATTTTCTGTAAAATGGGCGCAATAATAGTCCCACCTCATACGGTCGTTGTGCAGGTTAAAAGATGTAAAGCACATGGTAAACTTAGCACAGACGCTGGCACGAAGCCTCAAAGCAAGTATTCAATAAATGAAAGATACTATTATTAATAATCAAGATTGTAATTTTTATTACCACACGATGCTTTGTGTTGTTTTAATCTAACTCTCTCATTAGGGGTAGATCTTCTGAGAATGGGGATCAAGTCATGTCATAGTCCTGTAATGCCTTCAGCATCAAGATCCCAGGACATGTTTGTTGAAGATGGGTGAGCAAACCCTAACCAAAGAGTTGGAAACTCAGTGTCAATGTGAGCTCTGCCAGCGACTCTGCGTGTGACCTTGACTTATCTTCTTGGCGTCTTAGTTTCTTTCACTCTGTATCATCCCTAACATTCTGTTTGAACGTGGATTTCAAAGCCAAGCCCTGATATTGATTCTCTGTGTTAATTTGGGCACATTTTTCAATCTTCTTAGTCCTCAGTTTCTTAATCTGTGTAACGGAGAGAACAATCTTGTTTTACCATTGGCTGTAAGAATAAATGAGGTATTGCTTATAAAATGCTCACCTTAGTACTCAATTCAGTTGCACTTGTGGTTGTTTTATCATAGCTGTTTGATGTTGTTATTTCATAAACACTAGGCTTGTTGAATGTATTCGTTTCCTGGGCCTGTCATAAAAAATATTTGTTTCATACCTCTGGAGCTTAGATGTTCAGAATCAGGGTGTCAACACAGTTGATTCCTTCTGAGAGCTGTGAGAGAGAATCTGTTGCAGGTTGGGAAGCCTTAGGCTTGTAGATGGCATTTGTCTTGGGTCTTCACTTTGTCTTCCTTTTGAGCGTGTCTGTCTCTGTGTCCTTTTGTGAAGACACCAGTCATATTGGATTAGGAGCCATCCGAATGATCTCATCTTAACTTGATTACCTCTGGAAAGACTCTATTTCCAAATAAGATCACATTTTGAGGTGCCGGCAGTCAGAACTTCAACATACCTTCACGCTATAGGGACACAATTCAGCCAGTACCATTGAAAATGATTAATAGTTGTGTTTCTTAAATGAAATAGAAATGAACACTCACTGGACAGTGATTCCCCTTTACTCCACTGCACTTGACATTCACAGCAGGTCTTTTAACTGAATCAGGTGAGTGGAGTTAGTTTTGACGAAGATCCTCTTCTTTCTGCAAAGCAGCTCCCAGAACCTTTGCCCTGGGTGGTGAGTCCCACAAGTGCTTTTGGAATTGCAAGTCTATCATTTCTGGTTCACGACGTTGTTATAGGGCCCCCAGGATGGAAATAACACACCAGATCTCAGTCAGGTGGCGTTCTTTCCATGTTTTTATAGCGCTCTGCAAACTCTCCTGCTGTTTACATGTGACTTATATTCCGCCGGTGGTCCCTAAATAGATGTAATAAAAACAGATTTAGAATATTAATCTGACGTGGTTCAGGCCAACATGGTCTAATAGAAATTTATTTACTGGAGATGGTGAAAAATCGGAAAGAGTAGAGTGCGAATCATTTCTTAGTAAGTATTTCTTGCTGGCTTCTTTGGCACTGTTTCTCAAAGTGCAGTCCTGGATTCCGTGTGTTATTTGTGGAAAATGCAGATTGCAGGGCCCTGCCCTATCCTGCAGATTCAGTGTCTTTCAGGGAGGGGTCCTGGAATTGGCATTTCTGTTGAGCCGCCCACGTTCTGAGTGGTGCTTCACCCTGTAATGTTTGAGAACCACTGGTTTCCATCCTCTCAGAAGGAAATGCATTGTATTGTCTGAGTCAGATGGGTTTCAGTGCTGGAGTCTGTCCAGGGCTGAAGACCAGGAGGGCCAGGAAGCAGGTGTGGGGCAGAGGGCCCAGGGATGGGCTGTGGGCAGAGGGAGGAGTCAAGTAGCCATGGTGAGGACAAATGTATCCAATCCTTTGTGAGGTGACATCTGCTGAGCATGCTGAAAGGACAGTGGATTTCAGGTGTGACAGGGAGGCCTGTAAAGGTTGATGGGGTCTGTACTGTGGGCAGGTGGTTTGACCTGGGGCGTGAGTCTCTGGTAGCCTCAATGTGTGAGGTCCGAGCATTATCCCTATCAGAGGGTCCAGCAGCTGGGAGCACTGGGGTGGGGTAGGGGGTGTAGGAGGGGCTGACGCCTAGCCCTGAGGGGCTACTCAGTGAGGCGGGGCCTCAGAGCCACTTGGAGAGAGCTGTGGGCAAATCTGGATTTCTGAGCTTGAAGCAGCCCTTCTTCATTACGCTCTGGGAATCTGTATTTTTAAAGCTCCCCAGGTGATTTAATGTGACAGTCCCTCGGGGTAGCATCTGGGAAGTATGAGGACATTGGAACGAGCTGGCTTTGGGACCAGTGACCTGGTCCTAATGCTGTGACCTTGATCGCGTTACTAACCCACTCGGAGACAGTTTGATTATCTCTCAAATGAAGATACAGATGATTTTTTTTCTTTCTTTTTTTGCTGTTGTGGGAATTACAGATAAGAGATGTGATACACTCAGCACATGTTCTGGCACACAGTAGGCCACAATAAATGGTGGCCCCAAGCCTTGTGAAACCTGAGATTCTAGGCACAATGAGAATCCACTGGGCAAAGGAGTCAACAGAGGGACTCTGATTGGAATTGGGATATAGGATGAGATCTTGGCTCTAGACAACATTGCCTCCTGGTGTCCAGAATTGGAACTAGGGGAAAAAAAAGAAGCAACACTCATGTCAAGGCTTAAATAGTATTTACCCGTGCAGACCAGGCACGATTCTAAGTACTTTATGCACAACCTTATGAATTAAGTACTATTGTTATCCCATTTTATACAGGAGAAAATTGAGGCTTGGAAAGATGCGTGTATGGTCACATGGACCATTGTGCAGCAGAATTGAGTTTCAGACCCAGGTCATCTGGCTGTATCCTCAGCCCCCTGTTCCTGCCTGTTTAAGCCTCATATGAGGACAGAGTGGCCTTTGAACCACAATGCTGAGTCTCAAAAGTAAGCTGGGATTCAAGAAAAATGTTTCCGGCTATTTTTTTTGGCCATACATTTCTAGATGTTAAATCGTACAGCCACTTCACGACAAAGTTAGAAAAGCGGCATTTTCGTAGCAGAAACAGCTATAATAACCTCCACTATTGCCAAAGGCTTGATAAGTTCTAACAGAAAATCCATAATACAAAATTGTCTTAGAGTATAAATCCCTTGACCACTTTATATTTCATTCTTGCATAACATTTTTATTTTATTTTATTTTATTTTTTTATTATTATACTTTAAGTTCTAGGGTACATGTGCACAACGTGCAGGTTCGTTACATATGTATACATGTGCCATGCTGGTTTGCTGCACCCATTTCATGGGTCAATTAGAGCTTCAAAGGGCCTCTCTGACCACGGTTCCTTCTCCTTTAGCCTCCACTCTCACCGATTCAATCCTCATTCAGTTGATAGAAATTTGAATGTCTGATAAGATTTCTCCCACCTTACACATGAGGCATTGGCATTACCAAATATATTGGCTTAATTCTGAGAGTATTTTGTTAGAATTTCAACCTTTGTAAATTCTTCTCTATCCCTTCTCTCTGTTCTCAGAGCATAACCTTCGGTGGCAGGACAAATCAGGCCAGCACGCAGTCTGCCAAGTCCTGCTCGCTCCCTGTCAAGAAAAACAGCTGGATCCATTTCTAATCAACACTTCCCAACGCAACACTTCTGAGTCTCTGAAGGAGACCAGAGCTTGAAACTTTCCAGACTTCCAACAGACATCGAGTGCAAAAGGATATTTAGGTTGTCTTTGCACAAATCTGGTTGATTTGAGAGATAAAGGGGGGGGGAACCAGTGTGACTTTCACCTAAGAAGTCACATGAACATATTTCACATTTGAACTACATAATGAATGATGGTTATTGAAATAGCCCAAACCTCTACCACAGAGCGAGGGATATAGCTCAAGGGGCAACCAGGCAGTCGCAGAACCAAGGAATGGATGACTACAAGTATCAGGACAATTATGGGGGCTATGCTCCCAGTGATGGCTATTACCGCGGCAATGAGTCCAACCCAGAAGAAGATGCACAGAGTGATGTCACCGAAGGCCATGATGAGGAAGACGAGATCTATGAGGGCGAGTACCAGGGTATCCCTCACCCAGATGATGTCAAGGCCAAGCAGGCCAAGATGGCGCCCTCCAGAATGGACAGCCTTCGGGGCCAGACAGACCTGATGGCTGAGAGGCTGGAAGATGAGGAGCAGTTGGCCCACCAGTACGAGACCATCATGGATGAGTGTGGCCATGGCCGCTTCCAGTGGATCCTCTTTTTCGTCTTGGGTTTGGCCCTGATGGCCGATGGGGTGGAAGTGTTCGTGGTGAGTTTTGCCCTGCCCAGTGCAGAGAAGGACATGTGTCTGTCCAGTTCCAAAAAAGGAATGCTAGGTAAGTGGAAATTTCCAATGATCCCTCCAATGAAAGGGAAGGAGAAGTAAAATTTATCTAGTATCTGTCACTATTAGGCACTTTAAATATATCACAATGTACCCATTTTGCTGTGAAGGAATTTTTGTCTTAGAGAAATCAATTGATTGACTTAAGTTTGCACAGCTAATAAGTATTGGAGCTTAGGTTTCTATTGAGGTCTATCTGACTTCTGAGCTCTTAGTTTGCTTTCCAGATCTTGTTGCCTCCTTGAGAGTCAGATTTCTTTCTTCTTCATGTTAAACCTTCTTCGATGTCCAAATGACAAATACATTTTGGGAGTGGCAAATGTGGGAGTGGCAAATTAAACCTTCTTCCATGTCCAAATGACAAATACATTTGGGAAGAGATCTCTGGCTGGTCTCTTCCACTTGGTCCTTCTCTCTGTGTCTTTCCAGAGTCCGATGGTGTCTGTTCCTGGTTTCTCATGTACATAAATGTTAGTAGGCTGAATGCCCACATACCCTGGGGATGAATGGTGGGCTTAAGCACACCCGTGGAGTCCCTGCAGGCTGTTGGGAACCATGCTGTGAAGCACAGATGGATTCTGCAGGATAGAGGACCAGCTTTGCAAATCAATTAAGAGATCAGCACCATCAGAGCCAAGCATCAGCATCAGGCTGAGGCAGAGAGGATTTGTGAAATTAGAGAGACGGTGTGCACAAATGGTGTGATGTAGAAAAGATTCATCATCATATGGACAAGCATTTGTCTTTAGTCACCAAATGTCCTGAAAAATGTATCTACCCTCTAAATTTAGAGTCTATGAAATTAATTGTGCAGCAAACATGTAGTTATGAGAACTAACTATAAGTCAAATTCTCATTCAAGACCAGGACATGCTTATGACCCTCAAGAGCTCAAAATCTATCTAGCAATTCAGCTCCTTCATTCAACAAATATCTTTTATTGGTTTACCTTATGCTAGACTCTGTGCTCAGGATCTGGGAAGAAAATAGCTTTTGTCTCTCAAATAATTTGCATGTAGTTGAACAAACAGACATTAACAAACACAGAGAATTATTTGGTTACTGTAGGGACAGTCTCTATGAAATACCTGGTGCGATTCAGGTCCCCGATACTTGCTATAGAGCAAGAGCTAGCAAACAGTTCTGTAAAGACCCAGATAGTAAATATTGTAGACCTTGCAGACCCAGATGGTCTCTGTCACAATCACTCAACTCTGTCACTGTAGCACAATAGCAGCTTTGAACAACACGTAAACAAATGGGCTGTGTTCCAATTAGACTTTATTTACAAAAAAATGGTCAGTGGGCCAGATTTAGCCTGCGGGCTGCAGTTTGCAATCCCCTGATTTAGGGCCACTGTAAATAAAATTGAGATATAAAATAAAGAACCTCTGCATAAAAAATTGTCCCTGGGGGCTCTTAAAAATGGTTTTACACGTTTGTGTTTAACTAAAGGGCCATTTGAAATGATTAGAACTGTGTCAGATATAACCCTGAGGGCACCAAAAGAGACAGAGTATATGCAAACAGAAGAAAGGGCTTGAGAAGCAAAGATATCACCTGGAGTTTTTAAACACCAACATAATTTTAGTGTAGTTCTTTTTCATATTAAAAAATTCTGCTACCTGCTTTTAAGTATAAATAATAGATTTTTTTTTCAAAGGACAAAACCAAGCAACCAACAAACAACCAACAAAAACCAAAGACCCCAAACAAAACAAAACCATCTCCAACTGATGTAAACATTTCTGAGACATTAATTTGTTTTGCAGTATTCCCAACTGAAACCCTGGGTCCCTGTGAGTCCAAATTGGCAATGTCGGTAATGATTTCATGGCCTGCTGGTCTCTCTGGCACCGTGGTGCCTGGCAGCCTCATTAACAGGGCTGCAGTATGGTTGCAGCTCTTGCTGGCTCCTAGGGCAAATGCTGGGAGTTGCGGGAACATGGTCTTAATCTGAGAGTCCAGGTTTTTGTAATTTTGCTTTTAGTGTCTGCCCAGAAGATGCAGTGACTCCACCCAAGTGGAGAAGGCAGACCCTCTGAACATAGATGGACTTCCTATGCACTCGTGGGAACCTCTTTGTGGTCAAGAAAATGAGTGTCTAAATGGATCCAGGGGGCTGGATGATTTGAGGATTTCATGAGGCCAGAATTTCCACACGCTGTCACATGGAATCTTCAGAGTCACCATGTCGGTTAGATGATCTTTGTCCTTCAGTGTGAACATGCAGAAACAGATTCAGAGAGTTTTATCTAAGGTCACATAGCTCGTAAGTGTTGAGCAGGGGTTTGACCGAAGGTCTATTTGACTTCAAAGTCTATGCCCATTCTGCCACACCATACTGCCTTTCTCTCACGCCTCGTTTGTGGGAAGGAGGTCATGCCGTGCACAGGCTGCTCTCTGTGTCATCAAGCACCTCATAGATTACTTGGAACACCAGACTGCTTCCAACAGAAAGGGAACATGGTATGCTGATAATGATGTGGGCACTGGAGTCCAACCTCTAGGGTTTGGCGACTGGGTACGTCCTACATGTCATCGATCTGCTAGTGACCTTGGGCAAGTTATGACTCCTCTAATTCTCGGTGTTTCCATCTGTAGAATAAGAGCAGTAATGCAGTGCTGTGAGGACTAAATGAGATAATGCAGGTGTAAAGCAACCAGCGCTTGTTGCCCTCTCAACAATGATTAGTTCTCGTTACTTTATATTCTGCCATTCTCCCATCGGGCATTTGCAGTGAACTATAGCTGCAGTGAGATGACGAAGCAACGTGGCCCTGGAGCCAGTTGCTTGGATTTGAATCCTTGCTGTGCCAGTTCTTAGTAGTGTGGTTTTGAGAAAGTTGCCTGGCTTCTCTGTGCCTTGGTTTCCTTGTTTGCAAAATGGAGATAATAATAGTATCTACTTCATAGGATTATTCTGAGGACTAAATAAGGTTAATCCATTTAACATGACTAAAACAGTACCTGCCCCTAATCAGTGCTCAAGATATCTTAGTTATTATTATTGTCGATTGTGGTTGTTCTTATTACTAAACTGATTGCTTGATAATGACTCAGGAACAGATTTTCTCAGGTGAGACTGCAAATTTCTTTCAGCCAATGTTTTTTATGGTAGACTTCTAAGGTCAAGCTATCCTGCCTCAGCTGGCGAAAAGGCTGTTTATGTTTGAGTGCTGCTAACTCAGTTCTGTCTTTCCCCATCCTCTCTCTGTTTTAAAAAGAAACTCTCTGGTTGGGTGTGGTGGCCCATGCCTGTAATCCCAGTGCTTTGGGAGGCTGAGGTGGGAAGATCACTTGAGGCCAGGAGTTTGAGATCAGCCTGGGCAACATGGTGAAACCCGTGTCTACAAAATACAAAAGAAATTAGCCAGATATGGTGGTGCATGCCTGTAGTTCCAGCTACTTGAGCGGCTGAGGTGGGAGGATTGCTTGGGCCCAGGAGACGGAGGTTGCAGTGAGCTATCATTGTGCCACTGTACTCCAGCCTGGGTGAAAGAGTGACACCTTGTCTCATTTAAAAAAAAAAAAAAAAAGAAAAGAAAAGAAAAAGAAAGTCGCTGAAAGTGATGTCTTTACTCTTGACTCCTACTTGATGGCCCAGGAAAGGAATTCAGTAAGAGAAATCTCCACTCCCAAATTCAAGTGTCAAATCATAGGATATTTTGTTATTTTTTTCCTGGAAATGAATGAATCCATTTGGAAAATAAAGAAATATCCCTTGGCCAGGTGACAAAAATATCTGGGTGCTGCTGTCCTATTTTTCTGAGCTTTTAGAAAGATGAATGTTTGCTTCTCTTGAGCGTTATGTTTTATTGGATCTTCATCTAGAACTGTCTCACTTGGGGAAGAAAAAGATCTGTGAGTATATTGTTAACATTGAAGGCTCAACCCTGCTTAGTGTCCAGGAGTTGGTCTCCTTCAACTCTCAATGAAGAAGGCATTCATTTGTTAATTAAACTCTTCACCCATTCTTTTAAAAAATGTTTGAACATTACCACACGCCTGGTACTCCTCTGGTTTATAGCAATACAAGGAGACAAAGTCCTGGCACTCAATGAGTTTTATTCTAATGGTGGAAATAGAGGTCACACAGAGATGTTAAACACAAACACCACGACATAATCATGCAATGCAACATTCAGCCTTATCACTTTTATTCAGATAGGAAGGAAACAAAGACAGTGTGAAGGGATAGAGCTTGAGGTTGATGGGCTGGGGGGCGTTCTGGAGTTAGGTGATTTGTTTTTGCAATTGCTCTATTAATGATTGTGTGACCTTGGGCCAATCTGAAGTCTTTCTTCTGAGATTCCACAGTTTTTGGTGGTTGATGAGTGAATCCACATGTATTTTAACCTTTCATGGGATAATTATGCATTTTCTGGGTATGTAAAAAAAAAATCACCCGAAGAAATGATTAAACTTAGGAAGCTCAGGGCTATGTGGCAAGGTAAGCCCTTTGGTTCTTACAAATGACATCACTGACAACGGATTGCCATGTTTAGGAGTGCGGACTTGATTCCACTGGTAGTGGAGAGCTGTTTAATGGGGAGCTATGAAATATGCCGTTGAGGAAGGAGGTGATAAGATGGGGCCTGTGGTTTAGGGTGATCACTCTGCCCCAGTGATTTTGGTACTGAGAGTGCTTCTAGAGGAGCAGAATTTTGAGGATGAGTTTTCTGAATTGGTTCTGGGGTTTCTGGAATTGGCTTTCTAATCTGATTAGATTTAAAGATACTTTATTTTTTGAGTGTGGGAGCCTTGTCTCCCTGGAGCTATTACTATTAAATGGCAAAAACTGCAATTACTTTTGCACCAACCTATAGGATGACAATATTGGCGACACGTAAGGCAAACCAACCCCATCCTTTTCTGCCTGCATTTGATAAATTGACACCAATTTTTCACAACTGCAAATAAGCACCTCAACCTGGAACTGTGGGCTATTCCCTACCTTCATGCCTATAATAGTGAGCTTCACTTTCAGGCAAGAGTTCCGTGTTTTGCCTGCAGAGTTTTCATTTCTTGGAAGGATCCAGTGACTTGTGTATTTTATTGGCTGTTAGTTTCTTGCCGTCTGCAGTGAAAAGACTCTGGGAGTTATACCTTTCAGAAAGTGATTTAGAATCTAACAGTTGACCCCTGGGGCATGGTGTCTGTGCCAGCCATACGGAGGACACAGAGCAATGTCAGATGGGGCAGATTCATTAGAATAAATTGTGAGCTGAATTTTCATAGCAGCTCAGAGATAGATATATTACTCTGCTGTCGTGAAAGATTATCTTGTGATTGTTTTATATGCAAATTCTAGCCGAGCATCAGGGCATAATATTTGATTTATGAGCCGTGTTTTCTTTAGGCCTAAATTCATTGTCAGTTCCTGAAAGGAGGAGCCACTCTGTGTCTCAGAAGGGGGTGGCATGGAGGGGGGTCACTTCTGTGGCACAAAATATGTCCTCAGTGACCAAGTATTTACCTACTTACTCATGATGGTGAAATCCACCACTGGGAATGTCCATGTATTTCTTTCTGTGTTTGATTTATATCAGTTGTTCTTATTTATACTGTTTAGATCATGTAATTCTTCAGGATAGACTGATTACTTGATGCTCTTGTGAGAACAAAAACCATCAGAAGAAATAGAATAGACTTAAAATGAAGGGCTCCCTTAGCAGACGTACACGGATTGCTGTGTTTAGGAGTGTGGAGTTGATTCCACCGGCAATGGAGAGCTGTTTAATGGGGAGCTATGAAATATGCCTTTGAGGAAGGAGGTGATAAGATGGGGCCTGTGGTTTAGGATGATCACTCTGCCCCAGTGATTTTGGTACTGAGAGTGCTTCTAGAGGAGCGGAATTTTGAGGATGAGTTGTCTGAATTGGTTCTGGGGTTTCTGGAATTGGCTTTCTAATCTGATTAGATTTAAAGAGTTTATTGTTTGAGTGTGACATATTGTTATAGCAGTAGTTCCTTTTGAATTTTTCACGTTTAAAATATAATTTCAACTTCTATTTTAGATTCAGTGGGTACATGTGCAGGTTTGTTACATAGATATATTGTATGATGCTGAGGTTTGGGATACAAATGATCCCATCACCCAGATAGTGAGCAAAGAACCTAACTGTTTTTCAGTCCTTTCGCCTCTCCAGTAGTCCCCAGTGTCTATTATTCCCATCTGTATGTCACGAATACCCAATATTTAGCGCTCGCTTATAAGTGAGAACATGCAGTGTTTAGTTTTCTACTCCTGCATTAATTTGCTTAGAATTATGGCCTCCAGTTGCATCCATGTTGTTGTAAAGAACATATGATTTTGTTCTTGTTTATGGCTGTGTAGTATTCCATGGTGTATATGCACCACCTTTTCTTTATCCAATCCCCCGTTGATGGGCACTTATGTTGATTCGACGTTAAAGACCCTTTTGACTCTATTTCTAGGAGTAAAGAGAGCACTGATAGTCCATGTTGTGACGTGGCAATGAAGATACATAAAATATCACTAGATACATCTAATCAAATACTTATAATAGGCAAGAATCTGGGTGACCGAGTACATGATACCTTCAAACATTTTTGTGAAACTAATGAGTATAAAGACTTTGGCTGTTAGCACTAATGTTACTGGACAAAGTGGGGGAAAGAAATGAATGAGCCCAAGGATTCAAATTCCCAGTTCAAATGCTGCATAAAGGATTTGAAAGCTTCTGTGTTTCCCTTGAAAGAGATCCTTATCTCCTGAGATTGCTGAAAACCAAACCCAGAATCTCATTCTGTGAGTGGCTGAATTATAGTGAAAATTGAATTCCCAGCCTTGCAGGGTGTCTTCTGTTAAAGTGAGAACATTGATTGGGAAGGAATGAGATCCTGAAAGTTAGCATGGGGATGTGTGGGAAGACTGATGAAATTGGGAACACTGAGCCCCTACATTCTGATGAGTCTTCTTTGCCATTATAAGCATCCTCTCTGCCCCCATTCAGAGGAGATGAACTTTGCATTGACTGAGGAGTCTGTAATTGCCTCTCCTGAGGCAGTTGCCTTGCAAGACTTGCTGATTCTCATCAGGACCCAACCCCTCCACCCCTCTTTGCTTCTAGACCTGTAACTAGAGTCAAGTCCCATCAGGCCTCTAAAGGTGAGGCACAACGTGTGGACCATGAAGAGGTGGTTACACTCCAAAAGAATGACTTGATTTTTCTGGAAAGTATATGTAGGAATGGATATTAAGGGTGTGGGATACTGGTGGAAGAAACATAAAGTTGGGTCAGGCTACATTTATTGATTTGGGCCCACTAAGCAGAAATTCTGCATTTAATGTTGCAGCTTGTAGGGCTGGAAAAAACTCTACTATTTGTTTCATTGGTTGGCTGAAATGTAGACCAAAATGTGGCCCATAGTAAATGAAGTCGAAATGCCAGACCTATGTTGGTTTATGGTAGAGGAAGAGATTGAAAGGCCTAGGAATATTTGCATGTTAGAGCGGATTTTTCATTTCAGACTTACTCACCCTCACTTGGAGGGTTCAGAGGACACATCTTTTACCATGACTATGTGAGTTTTTTGAGGGGATCCTCAGTGTTCTTAAAGAGATCTGTGATTACTGTGCTCTCTGGAACAGACCTTACAGTGTGGACTGTAGTCATGGAGTTGCAATACCTAAATGCAGTGGGAATAATTGGATCCCAGGGTGCAAGGGCCAAGTGGTGGCACTCAGTCACCAAAGGCAAGGGGAGTGTGGTTATTGTAGTGGACAGCAGAGGCAAAGCAGAAATCAGAACAGTCTGACCTATGTAGACCTGTGGTACTGGCTAGTTCATTGTGGCATTTTTAGAAATGAAATAAATAGGAGGTCTACTAAACTCTTACTTGATCTGTATAAGAGTAAACTTCTAGGTCAAGTGAACAGAAGTCTCATGAAATATAGAAACAGAGCATCATGGCTTCTTGGTCAATTCCCAGACTTGAGCCAGTTTACAGACCCAGAAACCCTTGAATGAAAGGGAGGCTGAATCTCCTTGAGGAGGGACCCCAGTACACTGCCAAAAATTTATACCATTAATCTTTCTCTCAGTGTTCCCCAAAGAGACCTGTGGGCTTTTACTAGGTGACTGTGCATTGGGGAAAGGAAAATAGTCAGACCTTTTGAAGATACTTGCTCTGAACTGACACTAATTCCAAGAGACTGAAAACGTCACTGTGGCCCATCAGTCAGAGTAGGAGCTTATGGTGGTTAGGTGATCAATGGAGTTTTAGCTCAGGTCCATCTCACAGCGGGTCCTCAAGCTTGTTCTGTGGTTTTCCCCCCAGTTCAGGAATGCATAATTAGAAGAGACATCCTGAGCAACTAGCAGAATCACCACATTGGTGAAGAAAGGATCATTGAGGAGAGAGACTGGAGGTGGGAGAACCCATAGAATGTTATTGGAGAAAGAAATATGCAATTCCTAAACTAGTCTTTAGAGGTAATAGTAGAAGCCATTTGAGTGTTTTGAAAAATTGAGGTTTTTATGTAGGCCTTAAAGACATTTCTGCTATAAGCACCATTATTTTCTTGTACAGTTTATGCAAGGAAGAAAACCCTTCTTAACATCAAGAGATTTACATCTTTACACAGTGGGCTGCGTTTATTATAATACAGTCGGTGAATTCATAGTCAGAGGGTTGACTATTACAAAGCTTATGAGTAAATTCACTTTTCTGTAACTAACACACAATGAATAGAAATAAGTTTTCTACAGTCAACCAACCAACCACCTAGCCAGCCAACCAAAAAGCAAGCTCCGTACTCTCAAGATTAAGAGCAATTTCACAATTAAACCACCGGGGGTTAAAAAAAAAATCTCTCGAGGAGAAGTTCTTGCACACAAAACACTCATTTTATCATGTGAGATACAGATTCAGTATGGATTTAGCTTTGAATGTGACACTTTCCCCACTTGTCTACTGCTATTTTTTGTGCCTTTCAGCTTATTCCAACATCAGAGGAGAGAGCCTACTACCAGTCTCAAAAGCACTTGTGTCAACAACTTTAAATTATTAACTCCTTGTTGAAACTTACAGTTTCTGAGTTATTGGATTTTGATCAAGATTTAATCAAAGATATGTGGAGCTTGTGTAGATTTTAGTTTTACTGGGAATAAACAGGAATGTCTGGAAAGAGAGGGAGATGCAGAGATAGAGAGGGGGAGAGAGAGAAGACCGGGCAGTAGAGGATGGTTCTTAGCTCCCAAGGATGTTGGGAAAATTAAATGCAATTACCCCTGCTAACTGCCGTAACTACTTTGCTCAGGATCTGCACACAGTAGGTGCTTAGTCAGTACTCATCCTGCTCCCCTGATCCAACTGCAAAACCTGATGTTTTAGCTTCTCAGTTGTTTCAACATTGATTAAAGCAAGGATGTCTCAGGACATTCTGTCCACTTTGCCTGCAGAATATCTCCCTTGGCAATGTCACCTTCAAAGACTTTAATGAGTTGTTTTTCCTCCACAGTTAAGTGCACCCTTCTGGAAGACCTGGTAAATGAAAGATGTTTAGTAACTACCAATTTGCTAATTATCAGAATAAACATATGTTATTTATTTATTTGTATTGATTCACCTATATTTATGCTTATATTTGCTTCCACAATGGAAAACTTCACCAAGAACAAAAAAGACCCATAAGACCCTTGACCCACATGTTGGAAAATATGATCTTCCAGACCACAGAAAGCACAACAGAAATGAATGGGAGGAATTCTTAAGTAAACTGGCATATTTACTGAGAATGGAGGTGGAAGTTGCAGAGTTGGGAGTGGGCTGGAAATATATAAAACTCATTCCCTGTACAAGTATATGTAAGCTTTTGACCTTGGTGGCCCAATGAAGAGGGTTTAGAGATGGATCTTTTATAGAATCATAAAGGACTTTATTCTGGTTATCTATTATTACATATCAAACAAGCAAGCAAACATATACTCCCCGTAGAACCAAAACCTCCATGCCATTTACTTTGCTTATAAATCTGCAGTCTGGGCAGACACCTGGCCCCTATTCCACTTGACATTACCTGGGGCAGCTGGAAGGTGGGGGCTGGAATCATCGGAGGGCTCACCCACACAAATATCTGGTACCCAAACTGGAAGACGCAGATGGCTGGGGCTTCTTTTGAGCATCTCTCTCTATCTCCATACGATCTTTAAATGTGATCTTTCCAACATGGCAGCTCCAGGGTAGCTGGATTTTTTTTTTTAACCTGTTGGCTTGGAAAGAGATCTTGAGAGAGAAAGACAAGCAGAAGCCTTTTGTGACTTTGCCTCAGAAGTCAGGCATGTTATTTCCTTGAATTCTATTTGTTGAGATAGTAATAAAGACCAGTTCAATTTCAAAAAGAAGAAATAGACTCCATCTTCTAATGGAGGAAATGACAAGGTTCTGGAGAGCATGTGAAACCAGAAATATTGCTGAGCTATGTTTGTGCAGTATGGGCAGTTCCTGACTTTCTTTAGAATGAGTCCTCTGTGTGGCCCCTCTCAAAGTCATGCACTATTGACATGTTGGGCTGGACAATTCCATGTTCTGAGGGGCCGTCCTTTCCATTGTAGGATGCCTAGCAGCATCCCTAGCCTCCACTCACTAGATGCCTGTAGCACCCTGCTCCCAGTTGTGACAACCAGAAACGTCTCCAGGTATTGCTAAATGTCCCCTGGGGGGAAAAATCACTTCCAGTTGACAACCACTGCACTAGATGAATGTCCTTAATCCTAACTGCCCAATAGAATCACCTGAGGAGCTGCTGATAAAAAGCACAGGCTGTGCTCTGGAATAACTAAGCCAGAATGTCTATGGATGAGTCATGGGCATATACATTTTTTAATAGCTCCATAGTGACACTATTGTACAGCCAGAGTAGAGAACCACGTAGTTTATACAAAGACTGTGTATCAGTAGGAGCTGCTGAGATGTCAGGGTTTTTGCTTAAGACAAAGACTGTGTATCAGTAGGAGCTGCTGAGATGGCAGGGTTTTTGCTTATCGAGCTGTATTAAAAAGTAGGAACGATCCCCACATGGCTTCCTTCCTGTATTTGCGATGATGTTTGGAATATTTGCACATATCTTCGGTAGCATGAAAAAATGGAACTGCATTAAAAAATCTTGTACAGTGCTTTACAGATTTTCAATGGTTTTCCTAATCGCTCTTATTTGGTCTTTAAATGACTCTGTGAGATGAGTAGAGTGATAGTCTGTATTTATGCAATGAGGGGAGTGTTGCTCAGAGACCTTAAGGCATGAGTGCTGGACCCCAGTTCCTAATGTGATTTTCCTGTCCTGTGTTGCCACTCATTGTTACTGTGGGTTCCTTTATATGAATGAAGTTGAAAGGTTTATTTTCTCCCATACAGACTTCTTCATAGAAAGCAAAAGAAACTGATACGAATAAATCAGTTGTTTCCCACTGTCTTATATAACCTGTTCCTTTTTTTCTAATTTAAAATCAAATTATAATAATTATACTACTATCACCACTACCAAGAGTTATAATCTGATAAGCTCTTTCTTTGCATCCATTTTGTACTAGGTATCTTACATTATACCATTTCTAACCTTTATAATGACCTGAAAGACAAACATGATTTTCACTGTTTAACAGATGAGAAAACATAGGCTCTAAGAGGGTAAAGTAACTTGGAAAAACTAGTCAGTGACAGATCTAGGATTTCAAAAATCCAGTTATATCTGACTTCAAAGTCTGTTGCTTCTCCTTTATCTTGCTGTCCCACCCCTGGAAGACTTTTCCAGGTGCGCATTACACATATAACCTTAAACAACTTCTATGCAAAATGCATGACTCCAATAAGATGCAAGTGTGAAGTTGGCATTGGCCTCTCAGGGTGCTGGAGTCAGTGCCAGCCCATCTCTGTAGGCGAGAGAGGGATGTTGTTTGTGTCTCAGCCAGTGGGTGTAAAATCAGCACCCAGCTGATTTCACTGGAAGGGGAAACTGCAGGGGTCTGCAGTGATCCCTGAGGCTAGACTGTCAGCCTAGAATAGGCTGCCAGAGAGCTGAGTGGTGACATTGCCATCCTTTGTGTCAGGGGCCCAAGAGATGATCCGTCACTAAGTATGGAGCAGAGCAACAGAGCACAAAGAATTTCCCGCATCCCTTCCGCCAGCAACCCGGTCAGACAGAGAACACTCGGGTCCTCGGTGGAGCTCATGACTGCCAGCTAAAATGACTCTTTGAGGCCAGTGGGTGTAAAATTCCTCTTTATTTTGTAAATCTTAACCAGCACTAGCTCAGATGAACTGATTTTCACTTTGCAAAGGTTTGATTTTAATTTCAGAGAAGAAAGCTGGAAAGTCACAAATATTAGCAGGGATGGAAGAAAGGGGGTGTGATAGAAGGTCCTGGAAATGTAATAGCCTTTGAAATGCCCCATGGGGTCCACTGAACAGGCTGGATGTGAACATCCTCTTCTCCGTGTGGGCTGGCCTGGCTGCTTGAATGTGTGGAGTGTACGCTTTCTGTTTCACCACTGGAGATTTTGCTGACTCAGAGGCATTCATCAATCTCTGCTGGGGATGTGCAGAAAATAGTCCAAAGAAGTTTTGTCCTTGCCTTGTCCTCTCTGCCTCACCTCTCGGTGGGTCCTAGAAAAGGAAGTCTTGTGCTCGAAAGGAGACATGGTAACAGATTATAAGGTATAAGGCATGAATTACAAAGTTATAGTACCATCTAATATTAGAAATGAAAGAAAGGAAGGAGACCTCCTAGCATGCCCTTCGTTTCTGACTTGAAGAAACTGAGCCCCAAGGAGAAAGTGACTTGGTCAAGGTCATATACTCTCAGACCAGAATCTGGGACTCCTGACTATTGGCACAGAATTCTTCCCCCTGTGCCAAGTTGTCTTGCTGTTTGCTTGTGAGGGATGATTATTTAAACCAATCAGATAGAGTCTTTCATTAGTATGGTTTCTTTTTTAGAAGGCAGCATGTGTATAGGGTGCATTTGGCTTCTGGTAACAATAGCTTTGAATCATAAAGATACTCATTATTTATTGATCAAGAATTTTCAAAGTAGGTGGTACCAGAGTTGGTTCGATGACTCACTGATGTCAGGGCATGAGGTTGGCATGTCTGCGATTCTCTTTACTTTCCATGGTGGTCACAAGATAGCCACCATAGCTCTAATCTAAGTCCCCCGATAATGGCTTTCCAATCACCTGGCAGGTGTCCACCAAGTCTTATGGCTTGCCTGGATTAATCACTGGCAAGAAGAATTGGATGAAGAGGACCTTGTTGAATGAACTATGATTGATCCCTTAGGGTTGAGTGTGTCTGAGGAGGCAATCTCTCTGAACACGTTTAATACCTGAACAAAAGCCAGGGTTCCCTTAGCAAGGAAGAAGAGGGAAAAGGGCTGTTGGGAACATGACCAACAGAGTCTATTGCAGGCACAAGGTTTTTAAAGATAGGCTGTTTGACTTCATATCTTGGCTACATCACTAACCCTATCATCTTACACAAGTAACTTAACCTCCCTAACCTTGGTTTCTTAATGTGTGATATTAAAATACTATTAGTACCTGCCTACAGAAGCATTGTGAGGATTAAATAAGATAAAGCCCATAAAGGGCTCATCACAGTTCCTGGCACACAGTAAGGATCCAGTAAATATGAGCTGGTATTTGTATATTTTTAACTTTTCACTTTATTCAGTAGCTCCTTAAAAGAGTCAACTTACTCACGGGCTTGTTTACTGATGAACAAGAGGTGTTAGTCCCTCCTGTCCTGTCATGGAGCCAACATTTTAATAAAGAAAAAGGCTAAAAAACCCCAAAAAACCAAGATGGCTCTCTCTGACCTCCATTTTTCCACTGGCAAGAGTAAAGAAGATTCTAGAATTCAATGTATTCTTGGTAAGCTTCCCAGCATTTTTTCTCCCCAGTACTACCAGCCTTGCCACCAAGATCAGGACTAATTTCATTATGCTCTTTATCCCTGTATGTCAATCACCGTGAGAGGTTCATGTCTGCCAGGACACCCCTTACCATCCACATTTGCATTCCCGTATGACACTGTACATGCCTCCGTTCCCCTATGTTTCCCCCTTCTCCTCTGAGGATGTTAATTAGCCCTGCAGCCTCAGATGAGTGCTCTTGGCCCCGTCACAGCCTCCACTCTTGTACCATTGCTCTTTCTTGCTCCCCCTGGACATTTCCAGGCCATTCTCCCTCTCTCCTCACTAAAAGATCTCATATTCGAATCTCTTGTCATCAGAGAGCATCACTTACTACACATTCTTGTTGCAGTCATCCACTGACTGGGCCATGTGCTCTCATTCCTGGAGAATTTTAGTTCCAGGTTCATCACGGTCACATTCCAACCATCTCTCTATTATTGTCCTTGGAGATTTTAATAAGTGATTTCCATTATCCTGGTCTGTCGTTTCCTTAAAGTCCTCTCCAATCTTTAGACTTTTAACCTCTTATTACCCCCTTGTTCTCACCACATTCCTCACTGAGCTTAATGTCCATGTCCATAATCACAGTCACTTTCTGTGCGCATCACCAGCTTCCTTGCACCTCTCTTACTCTGCTGTGTTCCCCACCCCTGGTTGCATCCGACTTTTCCTCCATCTGTCCCTAAACCCCGTTGCTGCACCTGGGTGGTCAGGAACACAGAACATACAATGTTGCCCACTGGCCTCACTAAATTGATGATGCAGAGCCTCCAGAGGATCCTTTGTGCTGCCAGCCATCATCCTTCATTTCCCTCATCCCTTCACACTCTCCTTGATGGTTATTTTGTGTCTTATCCACTATTTTCCAATTTCCAGCATCTCTTCCTCATCTTCACTCTCAGATTAATAAACTCAGTTCCTCCTGAACTGAGAACAACAGAAGTAACCGGAGAAGAACTTCTATAGCCCCTGTTATCACACCTACCTTCCTCGCTGCCTCTGTGCTGACCCCGTATTCTTGTGACAGTGGAGGAGGTGTGAGGCTCACTGGTCTCCCTGTATCCCATCCCCTCTCACCTCCCCAGAACATCACTTTTGTAATCCTTTTTCTCATCATTTTGTAACTCCTCCTCATCAATATTTATCTCTCTATGGAATCATTCCCACCAGCACACTACACATTTCTTCAGTCTTGATCCCACACACATCTTTTCTATTCCCTTTCCAGTAAAATTCACTGAACCCAGTTCCTCACTTTCTGTTCTCACTTGAACCCACTTTCAGTAGAATGAATGAGTGAGGACGTTTCATCTTTAAGCAGGAGTTAATCCTCGCCTCTTCAGAAACCTGCTCTTGTCTAGATCACTCTTGGCCTCCACTTGCTCAGTTCAGCAGTCAGCTCTCATCCTCAGCTTATTCACCTGTTCACAGCAACTCTAACGGTTAGCCACTCTCTCCTCCTTGATGCGCTTTCTTTATTGGACATCTAAGCTACCTCTGTCTCCTCGTTTTCCACCTGCCCATTGGCTGCTCCTTCTTGTTCTCCATCACTGGTCTCTCTTCATATTCCTGGCCTTTAAATGTTGGAATGTCTCAGTGCTCAGTCCTTGAATCTCTTGTGTATTGCCAGTCACTTCTTTGGGGATCGTGTTTGTTGTCTGCTTTCATTACCACCTTTCCTCTGGATGCCACCTTTAAAATGCATCCAGAATCCAGCCACTTCTTACCACTTTCCTCTACCTACCAACCTGGCCCAAGTCATCAGCGTCATTCACTTGAAATACATGTGGTGGCCTGCTAACTGATCTTTACGATTCCACCTGTTGGAGGGAGAGGCTATTGAGGATGGATGGTCAGGGAAGGCCTCTTTGAGATTTCGCCTGAAATATGAGAAGGAGCCAGCCATGCGAAGATCTGAACAAAGAACATTCTAGATAGAGGAAAGAGCAGTGTGAAGACTCTGAGGTGGGAGAGAGCATAGGACATCAGTATCCAGGGGTTGCTTAATACTTGATAAAAGGGTGAATAGCAGAATAAGAGTAACCGTCATAGGATGAAGAGATCTGACCCAGGAGTTACCTATTATTTTTTTAAATACGAATACTCACTTTCTGAACATGCTATTAAAGGCTGCACAAATCTCTGTCACACAGGGTTCTCAAATAGTAGGTGAAACTACTGTTTGGCTAGTAGTGTTTTAAAACTCAGAGATTTTATTTAGCAATCTAGATTTCTGGTTCTTTTTGAAACTGTAGGAATAGGGTCTATCTTCTGTAACACAGCAGTTGGCTGAAGTTAGGTGGTGGCTGCTCCCTTTAGACGGGCATGTATTTCTCAGTCCCCACACTCCCTATTAGGGATGTCTGGAAGTATCACCCATTTGTATAACCTGCCTGGGCCCTGTTGGCATCTGCTTTTGCCCTCTTATGAGACCCCTGGACTATTCCTATATCTCATCAGACACAATATTCCACCCTCTAGCAATGACCACAACTTGGTCTTAAGTGAAATGGCAGAGGCATCACTGAGCCTCATTGGGTTATGATCCTATCTGAGATGCCCACAGTGCCCAGGAGAGCTATCAGAGGTGTCATACCTCCACTGGCCCAGGTGACACCTCCTCTTACCCGTCTCACCTGGAGTCATTCTGGATTGGAGGCACCAAAAGGGAAGCTGCTTTTCTGAAACATCTCTAGTGTGGTGGTATGTGAGCAAGGCAATTTCAGGGTTCTTGAAGTATCCTCAGGGAATCTGTCTTAATGCCTCTTCTTTTTAGCCTGAGAGAAGATTAAGGAAAGTGACAGATACCCCTCTGCCCCAAGGCTAAGGTGAGCCCCAGTCAGAAACCTCACTGTTGTCTTAAATCCTTTCTATTGCAGCTGCTTCCACTGTGGCTGTGGATATGTCTCTACTCACCAAAGACACAGCCAGGAACCTGGGGTCTGGGTCTCCTCATTGCTCACTGCTTGGCCCAGAATGTTGTCTCATGGTTTCATCTTGGTTATCCATCTCCTGCGATGATAAAGTCTCTAGGTTGCCAGGCAAAGTCTTTAGTTTCCCCTGTATATGGTTGGAGAGAGAACTTCTTCCTGATTTAAGGCTCTGTCCTTAAATCCAATGCTGCTGAAGCAAGGGGCTTCTGTCTCTCAGACTCCCTGATCTGCCTGTAGACCCTCACCTCTGGGCCTATTGGACACATTCAGAACCTAGAACTTCCAGGAGGGGCGGTTCTGCTCTTCTGCTGTGCTGTGGCTCGCCCTGAGCTGAGGGGCCAGGGCAAGTGAGAATGTTGCATCCTCAGGCAGAGTGACAAATGCCTCACCCCAACCCTGCTGTCCTTGAAGAGTATTAGTGTATCTTTCTTCATGGGCTATGTCATAATTTGGGGCATTGGTGACTCACTCAACTATAATCCTAGGTTCTTTCATCAGAGATTGGGAAAGTTTACTTATACTTTAATAATTGTGGTCAGAGAGGAAATCTCTTAACCTCAGTTTCCTCATCTGTTAAATGAAGCCATTAATACCTCCCTCACCAGGTTGGAATGACAAATTGAAATTATTATACATGTGATCTATCACAGTGTCTTACATATGGCAGGAGATCAACAAATGTTAATTCTTTTGTCCCTTCATTTCTCCTCTACACATTTGTATCCAAATATCTTATGTGACATTTAGGAAAGAATTCCAACTACCAAGAGAATGGACAAGTTAACCCACTTCTGAAGATTCCTTCACTTGAGTTTACTGGACCCATAAAAGACTAGAAAAGTCGAACATGGTGATTCTAGATTGGTTTCCACTAGACGACATGTTAAAGCCAAACCTTTTCGACCCAAAAGAAAGTGTTTACTCATCCAGAAGTTTCCAAGCGTCCAGATGCCACATAAACAAAGCACCTGGCTGACTTACCCAATGCATCTTATTTCATAGGGTGTGCAGATGGATACCCTGATGTTCCTCCATGATTTAATACCAAAGTGAGAGTTCTTTGTGGGATTCCCATATATGTTAAAACATTTATCACATTTACCACTTTGAGGAACTGTGAATCCCATGCCCTAGTCCAAGAGAATACTACCCTTCAAGGGGGGTATATTTGGTTGAGTAATAAATAAATGGAATGGAAATGACAGGAATTACTTTTTAGAGATGTTATTATAGATGCAATGGAAATGGTTTAGTTGGAAGATGCTGATTTTTATTCCTGCAAAGCATATGCATACAGTCAAATAAATATTTGAGTCACTGCAGGAAAAAGAAGCTCATAATCCTCTCAGGATAATGAATGCATTTAATTTCTACATATTCAAGCAAGAAAAAGGTTAGAAGTGGTTTATTTGTCTTTGGTTAATTGCTAAATAAAGAAGCTCACCCAGTCAGGGCCTCTTCTTTCTTGTCACCACGGTAAGCCAGTGCGGTCTGATGGTACATCTTATCCTGCTGCCTCTGGTGTGGAGAGGAAATCTTCTGTCTGTGTGAAAAGCATCTCTAAAGCTGAGAAGAGGTTTCTGATATCTGCCAGCTCTCTAGAAGGATATTTGGCATTGTGTCTCAAGAGCCACAAACTTGTTGATCTCCTTCGATCTCATGATTCGATTTCTTGGAATCTATTCTGAGCAAATAACTAGAAACACCAACAAAGACATATGCATAAAATATTCTTTGCTGAGTTGTTTATTAAGTGAAAAGCTAGACTATGAAGCTTTCGAGACAGAAAGATTTCTATCGTGTAAATACAGTATGTAGTTATACACGTACCAATACAAATACAAAAATAAAGCCTGCTGACAACAGCTGTCTCTGAGTGGTGGTATGATGAATAGATTATTGCTTTACCTTTTATACATTTTGGGGGGTATTCCTCAGATTTTCTTACAGTGAATAGGAATTACTTTTAGATTGTTTTATTTATTGAACAAATATTAATGGAGTACCTACTATGTGTACATCTCTGTGCTAGAGACACAGTGTCGAACTCTCCTCAAGCAAAATCAACATGGTCCCTTCGTCCAGGAGTTTACAGTCACAGGAGTTTGGCAAATATCAAACAAATAAATATATAACATCAAATAGAGACATGTGATACAAAGGAAAAGCAATAGTATGCTGCCAAAAGACTATCAGGGACGACTGAAATTTGGAACAGGAACCAACAAACTGTGGTCTACAAACCTATGACCAATTTTTTTTTTAACATTTTTAAAGGGTTGTAAATTTAGGAATAATAATATGATGTGACAGAGACCATAGAAGATTGGCAAAGTACATTTTACAAGTAAAATATCTATGCTCTGTCCCTTTATAGAAAAAGTTGGTGGAGCCTTAGTTTGGAACATCAGGGATGCCTTTCTAAGGAGATGACATTTAATGTGGGAACTGAAGAAATATGAGTTAGCAAAAAAAAAAAAAAAAAATCCCCCCTTCAAAGTCTTGTTAGAGGAAACTTCGAAAATATTTTTCAAAAAAAGCTTTTTATTGGAAGCTGGCTTCTTCTCCAGGTAAGGAGAGAGGGAGGTCTATTTAAAGGGCATACTACTAAAAATAAGTTTCCTATGCTATTCTCTATCCTTTTTCCTCATATTCCTTTAGTATATGATTGGCTTGTTTTTAAAATATCACCATCTTATTTTTATTTTTCTAATCCTGTGGCTTTCCAAGGTCCTAGACAATTTTAAGCTGTACTGCTAATAACATCAATAGCAGCTTTTATTAAATGTGCATTTACTTTGGTGCCAGGCATTTTGCTAGATACTTTAAATCCACTCCCCTATATAATCCTAACAACTCTGCAAAGATGGGCACCGAATTTTACAAAGATGTAATAGTGGTCAGAGAGGCTGAATGGGCTGCCCACAGGCATGCTGTGGTAGTCATGGAGCCAGGACCATGGCCCAGATGTCTCAGTCTCAGAACTGGGCTCTTTCTTGCATGGTGCCTGTCACTGCAGGCTCCTCCCTCTTCCAAGGAGGGGTATTCTATTTCCTTTGTTGTGTTACCACCAATTAAAAGTCTTTTCCACTCCACCACATCGCTCCTCCTTTCAACCTCCTCCTCCTCCTCCTCCTCCTCCTCCTCCTCCTTCTTCTCCTCTTCCTCCTTTGCTCTGCAAGTAGCAATCCTGGTTTTCAATTTCCTCAAAAATCTCAGTATATTAAGGGATCATTTCCCTAATATGCCACCGAGCTTGTTGAGTGAAATTGAGGGAAGATTGAATTTCTGGCTTTCTAACTAGTTCCTTATCTGCTTCACACTAAGGTAATTTTTGATAACTCCACTGCACTCTAATTTTCCAAATGTATTTTTTAAATTTCTTTTGCTAAAGACAGATTTTAAATGAGTCTAATAACATAGCCATTCCAGAGACATTGTTAATTTTGTATTTCCCTTCCCTGGTGATAGGCTCATTTTTCCTTCATTCTTCCTTTTCCTAGACTTCAAAGACAGCATTTGAGAAGCTCTTCTTATTCTCTCTGGTACCTCCATGACCTTGGACAGTGAGGTTTAGTAGTGAAAGCACAAGGCCTGGAGCCAGGAGACCAGAAATGCAGTGCCAGCAGGTCCTCGGCCAGCATTGAGGTTCTGGGCAAGTTATTGACCCTTTCTGGGGCTCAGCCTCCTCGTCTGGTAAAACTAAGGGGTTGGATTCAACATCTAACTTGTAAAGTTTTTCAATTTGTCTAGGTGTCTAGATCAGTCATGGGATAGTCAGGAGACAAATCATACCAGTTACTTGAAAAGAGAGATTTTAATGTAAAAATTATTAACAGGATGGGTGAAACGCTTTTGAAAAGTTTCACTGAGGTAGCAAATGCAGGGAGAAGCTACCTCCCCTAGGGCTTGGAGAATAAAGGAAAGAGATTGGAATGATTATAACTTAGAATCTTGAAAAGGGGTTCCATAAAGCTGCAACTCAGCTCTCTTAAGAGAGGCCCTGGCTGGCAGTTGCTGGTGTTGGAGAGGAGAATGAAGTGCAATGTGGCCTCTGCTAATTGGATGCAGCTGCTATCTAGAAAGGAATTGCTGCAGTCAGGCTGAAACCTACAGGGAACAGAAAGGACAGGTGCTTTCTTCTTTCCCCAGCCCTGAAGCCTCCCTCTAGCGCCCTCTATTGGCAGAGCCTAGCAGAGAGTGGCTGGCAAAACTGACCGGGATTTGTGGACCAAGTAAGGTCTAGGAGGGTGGCTTTGGAGCTGAGGGACAATAATTTCATAACTGCACAGTGTTCATTGCTAAGATTGCAAACTGGTAGGTTAGAAGCCACTTTTTTGTTAAGGATATCTTTATTATTATTATTCGATTCTTTTTAAAGTCATTTATCATAGTCGTACATATTTTGGAGCACCTGTGATATTTTGATCCATGTGTACAATGTCATAAAGATCCTTGTCACGCCTGTAATCCCAGCACTTTGGGAGGCCGAGGTGGGCGGATCACGAGGTCAGGAGATCAAGACCATCCTGGCTAACACGGTGAAACCCCGTCTCTACTAAAAATACAAAAAATTAGCCGGGCGTGGTGGTGGGCGCCTGTAGTCCCAGCTACTAGGGAGGCTGAGGCAGGAGGATGGCGTGAACCCGGGAGGCGGAGCTTGCAGTGAGCCGAGATCGTGCCACTACACTCCAGCCTGGGTGACAGAGCATCTAAAAAACAAAAAACAAACAAACAAAAAAATGCCTTGTATGGCCTTAAGTAGTTTAATCAAACATTTGTGTCTGAGTTTATGTTTTTAATCTGCATATCTTCTTCCTTGGAAATCCACAGTACTTCATCTTTCATTATTTACATTTTTAAAAAATTAATTTAAAATTAATGAATGGGAAGGCAACTTGGAGATCATCTCTAGTTCAGTAATCGGTTTATAAATGAGGTGATTAATACCCTCAGAAAGTGAGAGGTTTTGCTCCCAAATCATACAACTAGTGAATGAGATCTTTGGGTTCCAAGGCCTGGATTCTCATCATTATTTACTGTTTACAGGAGGACAGATGTGCTCTAGCCTCTTGCTACTCAAAGTGTGGTCCCCAGACCAGCAGCACTGGCCTCAGCTGGCAGCTTGTTAGAGATGCAGAATCTCAGGGCCCATCTCAGGCCTGCTGGATCAGTATATGATTTTAACAAGATCCCCAGGTGATTTATGTGCACAGTAAAGTTTGAGAAGTGCTGAAGACAGCTTTATTGAAGTAAAAGAAAAAATAGACTTTTATTGGATGCTAGTGTTTTTCTCTAGGGTGGACTCAGGGTGTGGGGTGTGGAGACTAGTTCTCAGCAAATCTCTGGAGCACTCCTCTAAGTCTCTTTTCCCTCTCCCTGCTTTCAGTTTATGGGCCCATACACATACATGCAAACACCCATGTGCACACACACAATCACACGTGCATGCATCCATACATCTACGTTTTCACACACACACACACACACACACACACACACACACACACATGTTTATGATCTGGCTTCTGTCCTACCTTCTAGCCTGAACCCTCACCAGATTCCCCTACATGAACTATGCTCTACTCACGCTAGGCTACTTACAAGAAGTTGCCCGAACATATCAGACTTTCTTTTTGCCTCAGTCACCAAATGGAAATCAGACTAAATTCTGTTTGTCTTTCAAGAACAGCTCAATGTCTTTCTCTTGGAAGCCTTCCCACATTGAGTGAATTATATCCAAGGTTTGCTCTTCTTCTGGGTTTTAATAATACCTGACAGATACCTTTATTGAGCACCTTTTTTCTCACTCATAGATAATCATACATTTTATTGTTTATCTCCTTGAAAGGATGGAACCATTCCTCACTTGACAAGCAATACTGGGGGTGAGCAGATGAAGAAAGAATGAACTAATGTAAAGAGAAGGAATCTAACAAATGCTTATCTGTAAAGAGCAGCAAAGTGTAATAGTTAAAGGATCGAGTTGGTTTTTTGAAAAGATAAACAAAACTGACAGACTTTTAGCTAGACTAAGGAAAAAAGAAGGCTCAAATAAAATTAGAAATGAAATGAAAGAGAAGGCATTACAACTGATACCACAGAAATATGAAGGATCACAGGAGATTATTATGAAAAATTGCACACAACCAGTTGTGTAATCTGGAAGAAATGCATACATTCCTAGAAACATGCAATCCGCCAACACTCAATTATGAAGAAATAGAAAATCTTAACAAACCATTAATGACTAAAGAGATTGAATTAGTAACCAAAAACCTCTCGACGAAGAAAAGCCTAGGACCTGCTGGCTTCACTGTTGAATTCTACCACACATTTAAAGAATAAGTAATGCCAACCTTTCTCAAACTCTTCCAGAAAATTGAAGGTGAAGGAATATTTACAAACTCATTTTACAAATCCAGCATTACTCTGATACCAAAGCCAGAGAAGAACACTACAAGGAAAGAAAATTACAGGTCAATATTCCTGATGGACACAGATGCAATAATCTTCTACAAAATACTAGCAAATTAAATTCGACAGCACATTAAAAGGATCATACACCATGATCAAGTGAGATTCGTCCTTGGCATGAATGGATGTTTAAACATATGCAAATCAATAAATGTGATACACCACATTAACATAATAATGGATAAAAATCATATGATCATCTTAATAGATGCAGAAAAAGCATTTGACAAAATTCAGCATCCTTTCGTGATAAAAATTCTCAACAAATTAGGTATAGAAGGCCACATATGGCAAGCCCACAACTGACAATCATAATCAATAATGAAAAGCTGAAAGGTTTACCCCTAATATCAGCAACAAGACAAGAATGCCCACTCTTGCCACTTCTATTCAACATAGAGCAATTAGGCAAGAAAAAGAAATAAAAGTCATCCAAATCAGAAATGAAGAAGTAAAATGGTTTCTGCAGATGGCATCTTATACATAGAAAACCCTAAAGACTCCACCAAAAAATTGTTAGAACAAATAAACAAATTCAGTAAAGGTGTAAAATAAGAAACCAACATAAAAATAGTAATGTTTCTATATGCTAACAATGAAGTATCTGAAAACAAAATCTAGGAAACAATCTCATTTACAATAACATTAAAACATACTTAGGAATGAATTTAATCAAAGAAATGAAAGGTCTTTATACTGAAAACTATAAGACATTGATGAAGAAATGGAAGAAGACACAAATAGATGGAAAGATATCCCATGTTTATGAATAGAAAGAATTAATATTGTTAAAGTATCTATACTGCCCAAAGTAACCTACAGATTCAATGCCGTCCCTATCAAACTTCCAATGGCATTTTTCATAGAAATAGGAAAAACATCCTAAAATTCATATAGAACCACAAAAGATTTGGATAGGCAAAGCAGTCGAGCCAAAAGAACAAAGCTGATAGCACCACACTACTTGCTTTCAAATATACTACAAAACTGTAGTAATTTAAAACAATGGTAGTGGCATAAACACAGACATATAGACCAATGGAACAGAATAGAGAGCTTAGAAATAAATTCACACATTTATGGCCAATTGATTTCCAACAAAAGTGCCAAGAACACACCATAGGGGGAAAAACAGTCTCTTCAATAAATTGCGTTGAGAAAACTGGATATTACATGCAGAAGAATGAAACTGGACCCTTATCTCACACCATATACAAATATACTACATTTCCTTAAGGCTAGACATTGGTTGTAGCTTGAAGAAAGGTCCTTCTTGGATGGTAATAACATAGCCAGCCTTGCTGGCAATTGCTGTTTTTCACTTCTACCGTGTTCTTCCTTCCTAATATCCACTTTGCCACACTTTACCCTGGAAATTCTCTCCTTAAACATAATCCACCAGTTGAGGGCTTTTGCAACACAAAGACTTTCCTTGCTTAAAAAATTACAACATTTCCCTTGTCTGCAGATTATGTACCTAAATGACTGGTCTTACAGCCATCTCAGTTTTGGTTGATCTGTGTTAGTCTGTGTATATGTGAGGCCATTTTTAAGATAAAATTTGTAAAAAGTCATATTTGTATAGCACTTCCAATTTGCCACAAATATCACATTCCACCATTTTGTGTCTATGACACAGAAATTCTAGGATAAATAAAAATGAACATTGTATTTTGTAAACATTGTATAGTCTTAATCTTTTGTCTTTTCTCTCTATTCTCTCCTCTCCTCCCCCTCATTGCAGGGATGATAGTCTACTTGGGAATGATGGCGGGCGCCTTCATCCTGGGAGGCCTGGCTGATAAGCTGGGAAGGAAGCGAGTCCTCAGCATGTCTCTGGCCGTCAATGCCTCCTTCGCCTCCCTCTCTTCCTTCGTGCAGGGATATGGAGCCTTCCTCTTCTGCCGACTCATCTCAGGCATCGGGTATGTTCTTAGGGAGGTGGAGCTGGACCATCCCAGACCAATGGCCCATCCATTCTGGTATTCTAGCTCCAAGAGGTAACTCTAGAAACCCTTGGACTGACTGAGTTTTTGTTTGACTTTCAGGATACTATATTAAAGTTGAACCTTAGAAAGAGTTAGGGTTAGGATTAGCCTCTGAAGTCAGCATGCAATGTCAAAATAATCCAAGACTGCTTCCCACATGTAGAGAGGAACTAACTGGCCGGTCTCTCAAATTCACTGGGTCCTTTCACCACAGAGCCTAAGGTGGGGTATAGGCAACTTGGTTTCTGCTGTGACCATTTTTAGTGTATGACTTGATTCTTTCTCTCTGGCATTTTTCCTTTGCAGTATTGGGGGTGCTCTACCGATTGTTTTTGCCTATTTTTCTGAATTCTTGTCTCGGGAGAAGCGAGGAGAACACCTCAGTTGGCTGGGCATCTTCTGGATGACTGGGGGCCTGTACGCATCTGCCATGGCCTGGAGCATCATCCCACACTATGGTGAGTCATGGCTCCAAACAGCCTAGGGGGCCCTGTTTCTATGGCTCCTGCACCCAAACAATAGTTCCTGTCCTCAGCCTTATTCCATGTACTCACGCACAGTTCCCGTACGTGACCTTGATCTTTCTTAACAACTTCTAACATTGCAGACACATTGTTAATTTCAATTCAATGTCTTTTTTGAAAAATATATCCTGTCCTCCCTCTTTTCCTCCTTCCTTCCCTTCCTTCATTCTTCCCTTTCTCCTTCCCTCTCTCCCTTTCTTGTTTCCTTACTTTTATTTGAAATAATTTCAACCTTCATCTCCTCCAGCCCTCCTCCCCCTGAGCAACTTGGGCTTTGGTAACCTGATTTAATAGATGACAGGTATGTGACAAAAGCCAAGAGAAGTTGGTGACTTGCTCAAGGCCATGTCCCTGGCATGTGGTGGAGTGGGGGCTGGAGTCCTGATGTCCCCTCAGGTGCAGTAGGCTTGTACTCTTTCTGCCCTGGTGCCTGCTGTCACTCTTGTTTGGCCGTGACAGTGCAGGAGCCCTTATAGACAAGGTCATGGTTTCAGCCGGGACAATTTTATTTTCCTGGATAATTGTAAACACTATTCTCTGGACAGAGACCTGGCAACATCAACTTTTACTACTGGTTTCGTCAAGAGCAAAGTAGGGAGAAGGCAGCAATTTTGACTTTGATTCTGCTTTTGGAGTATACTTAGTAATACTATCATCATCATTCAAAATCATTTTTGGTAAATCACTGATTATGAGTATAGGTTCAGCAGTGGTTTAGAATCCTCAGACCCCGAGGGGGTAGCAGACAGCTGCCCCTGAAGCTGACTGATAGTTTACCACCTATTTATTGTCTTGTTTTAAATATGACCCTCTCTGCTGTGCTTTCTCAGCTAATGGAGGCTGCATGTATATGTTTTTAAGAACAAGCTTTGGTTTAGACAGTACCTACTGTATTAGTTAAGGTGTTGGACACTGGGTACATTACCTTGACAAGCTGATAAACCCTGAAATCTCAGTGTTTTAACACAGTGAAAGCTTCTCCCTTATGTGAGGTCCGGCTGGCATTTCTAATCTGCAGGTGGCTCCGCTCCATCAGTAATTCTGGAGTTTAGACTCCTTCCATTGTGTCATTCTGTCATCTTCAACCTACAGCTTACAAGGTCTCCGGTTTGGGGAAAGAGAATGGGCAGTTGTAGATTGGCTGAAGGCCAGGAAGTAGAACACACTCACCATTTCCGCTCACATTCCAGTGGCCCCCAATCTGTAACATGCCCACACTCTTCTGCAAGGGACACTGGGTAACAGTTTAGCTGTGTGCCCACAAAGTAGAGGAAGTGGGTTTGGGAACACCATGTTGTCTTTGCCATATCTAGTACTTGAAAATCCACTGGATTTTATATCAGAAACAGAAAAAATATGAAAAGGAATAGTGAAATAAAGAGTTGAAGAGTTTTCCAGCCAATTCTGTCATTCTAGTTCTCCATAATTTTAGATACAAAATTGTATTACTGCTACTGTCAGGTTCTGCAAGATATCCCTCACTCAAATGCACACTTTAATTGCCCTTGTACTATGTACTATGCTGTTGATTATATGGTTTTGAGGCATTGCTTTCCTTTTTCTTTTTTTCCTCACAATTCTTGATATAATATCATTTTCTCTGTTAGCTGGTCCAAATGTTTGAATACTAAGGGATTATTTTCACTTCTTTTTTTTTTTTTTTTTTCTGAGACAGAGTCTTGTTCTATCACCCAGGCTGGAGTGCAGTAGCATGATCTCAGTTTACTGCAACCTCTGCCTCCCAGGTTCAAGCAGTACTCGTGTCTCAGACACCCAAGTAGCTGGGATTACAGGTGTGTGCCACCACACCCAGCTAATTTTTGTATTTTTAGTAGAGTCGGGGTTTCACCATGTTGGCCAGGCTGGTCTCCAACGCCTGACTTCAAGTGATCCACCCGCCTCAGCTTCCCAAAGTGCTGGGATTACAGATGTCAGCCACAGTGCCCGGCTTATTTTCACATTTAAATGAAGTGATTGAAAAACCTTTTATGGAGGGAAGCAACTGAAATCTAAATAAAAGCTGAATCCAAATAGTGGTGCTGTGTGATATGGGACAAGTCAATCCATCTTTTCAGCCTTGGTTCTTTTACCTATAAAATGGAGGGGAGAAGTGACACAAAAAGAATCAGCTCTAGATATACCTGCCAGCCCGAACCTTTGGCAATTCTTGAGGTGCACAGAGGAATGAATGTTGAGAAAAATTCCAAGATAATTCTAGTACTCAGACCAGCTTCCCTCCTGGAAGCATTAGCAATACGAGGCTTTCTGTTTGCAGACTGCTTGTTTCATGGGGAAAGCCCGCCCTCACACTTGACCAATGAGAAAGGGTCTTTGATTTCCCTCTGATTGGATCAGCCTTGGTCATGTGTCCACCTCAGCCAACCACTATACACCAAGAGATGCAGATCCGGAAGGGTTTAGATCCACTTCCTTCCCCATCCCTGGAGCTATGGGTAGGGTCAGTCCCACCCAAACCACAGGTGTGCAACACAGTGGTGAAGAAAAGGCAGGAGGATGTTGTGAGGGAAGCTGGCAACCCACCTCTTTTTTTCACTTCACAAACACACACACTTACACAGACACACACACTATTGTCTAAGTGTGTGACTTCTAGGAAAGCAATAAAAGAATTCAGGTTGGGGACATGTTGACCAACATAGATGGGATGTCCATGGCAGAGGGGCCCCATGGTAATTGTCTGACCACTGCGGGCTGACAGCAGGGCTTGTGGTTAAGTATTTTACCCCAGATGAGATGATTATTCTAAATTAAGTAACTCAGGAATGGAAAACTAAACATCGTATGTTCTCACTCATAAGTAGGAGCTAAGCTATGAGGATGCAAAGGCATAAGAATGACACAAGGGACTCTGGGGACTCGGGGAAAGGGTGGGAAGGGGGTGAGGTATAAAAGACTACAAATTGTGTGCAGTGCATACTGCTTGGGTGATGGGTGTACCAAAATCTCACAAATCACCACTAGAGAACTTACTCATGTAACCAAACACCACCTGTTCCCCAATAACCTATGGAAATAAAAAATTAAAAAAATTATTTTACCCCAAATGGACAGGACATTTCCCTATGTGTATGCCTGTATGATATCTGTGACTTTTATATTCCATTTTAAAATAGAAGCCTCTTGGATGATCAGGCTTAATTGAAACAGGCGTTCACTTGGGGGAAATCCATCCTAGAAATATGGTAGACTAGAATCACAGTGTAACAAGAGCCATTATTTATCTTAAGCCTCAGATGTTTTGTCCGCAGTGAACCAGACATTTGATGGTATTTTCCAATGTGCCTAATGCATTAATCTTCTAACAAATGCAAGTGTAGCTTTAGAGAAGAGACTGATATTTGTGTGTACAGCTTGTGTAACCTGTTTAATTGATTTTGCAAGAATGAAGTAAAGGGAAGTCTTGGCACCAGGAATTTGAGTGATTGGCTCATTGAGAAAGAAAATTACAAAGCTCAGAATGTTTTCCTGTGAACTCACGGGTAAAGCTCAGAAAAAAAAATGGATATATTATGGAAGATTAATTCCCATTGTAGTCAGCATTACCAGCTGTTTGTGAAATCCTGACAGAGAAAAGTAGGGCAAGCTAGAAGATCAGCAAACAGAACAATCCCTTCCTCCAAATTAATATTGTTCCAAATATTTGGAAGCAGTTTGCCATTTAATTTTATTTAATTTAGGGCCCTGAAGATGTGCCTAATGAATGCGATAAATGCAGATTACTGAAATCACCATAAAAGCCATAGAGGCGTGAAGGAATAATGGATTTTGTATAATTTGTGCATATTATCATAAAGAAAAAGATCTTTTTGAAGCAGAATACTTTATAAAGATGACTGCTTCTGCCCCTCTTCCCTGGTTATCCATCTGAGTTTGACTGCTGTGTGGTTTCGATCACCTTTACTTCTAATGATGCCAGAGTAGTTTTTGCACGTGAGCTGAGAACGTGTAAATATTGCTATGGTTTTATCTTCCTCTTTCTAGTGTTACTCCCAGGAGAAAGGAAAGGCTTTTTAATTAAAATTAAAGTGAACGAACAAACCTCAGTGAGATGATAAGAGACCAAGCTGTGCAAAAAGAGATTTGATTCTGATTGAGTGTATTGGATGAGGTTTGTGTTCAGTTGCTGTGGTCAAAGGTGTCCAAGGGACCACAGTCCCACATTTCCACACCGGGATTCCCTCTACCTAGTCTTTTAATTGTACAAATAGTGTAGAAAATGTCTGCAGGAACAGCAGATAATTGGTTAGGAGTCTGCTGCGAGTAGAACAAGTTGAACCACAACGGGGAGTAATAAAAATTCAAGGCAAGCTGTTTGCCACTGGAGTTGGTCATATGTTATATTTCTAGGTAAATGAAATAGAAGTTTTATATCCAAATAACTATTGCCCTCTAAACTTTATAAATTGATATATTTATTTACATAGTCTTGTCTTTCACAAATACCATTTGAATTGTCTTCAGAAATACTTTATGGCATGAGAAAACCAGTCTATTTTATAACCTCGGCTCTATTTTTTAAAAATTCTTTTGCTGATCTTTGCTGATATTTATCTATTTTATTCAACATCCTTGGCACTAAATGTCATGGAGCTATTTCTAAAAAAAATCAATGTACTCTCAAAGCAGGTGAAGTATAATGGGTTGCTAGGAGCGTTCACACATGACAAATCTATGGAGGTATCATTACCTGTATTCTACAGCTGCGAAAACCCACCAGTGCAGTTCGATGGGATCAGACCAGAATTTGAACTCTGATCTCTGTGACTGCAAAAGTCTAGGCTCTTTCCACTTTATTACTTAAAAGAGGGAAGTTTGCTACCCATGAGGATATTCAAAACAATGCTTGAATGTAATTTCTGAATATGGGTTTTAGCAATGCTTTGAATAATGATGATTGAATAGGAGCTAGTTATCTTCCCATTTCAATGATGATGGGATGCATTGGAATGTAGAAGTTCAGTCCCTCATTTAAAAAAATTGTGTAGCCGTATAACAGCTTACAGTGTTTTTCAAAATGTGGTCCTGAACCCTTTGCGCTGGAATCACCTGGAGCTGGCATTGCCCTTTGACGTTGGAAAGAGGGATCACCAATAGAAGCCCTGGGTCGTATGAGGCCCTGCTCTGGCCTTCCTCTGGCTGCACCCCTTCCCATAAGGCAAGGCATCTCTGAGGCCTTGACCCCCATCCCCATCTTCATCCAGATTATGCTCTGGGTGCTCAGGACCCAGGAATTCCCATAGACTCAAGAAATCAAGACAGGAGTGCCCATTCTCATCACAGTGGTGTGTCCACGCATGTCTGCATGAGGTCCCTTATTTGGAAGGAGGAGGTGGGGGATTGAAAAGGGGATGTGGCATATGTGGGTGTAAATTCTGGGCCTGGACTTCTAGCTTGTTGCTTGTCAAGGCAGGCAAATAGAATATGTTTCCTTTAACAATCTGCCATCTTAAAATATAATGATTCTGTAGAGATACGGGCTATTGTTTCTGTTTGTACTCTTATCCGAGGCTCTGTAAATGTCAGGCCAGGCCTGGACCTGGGGATTTGTCAGAATGCAGAATTCCTGGGGATTTGTCAGAATGCAGAATTTGCAATGTGAGAAATATCATTTTGCAGATTTGTCAAGATGCAGCTCCTATCCCAGGCTTATGACTCAGAAGCTTCGGAGGCACAGCTGAGGAGTCTGCATTTTAACCACCTCCCCGGGTGACTCTCTTGTGCCCTGAAGTTTGTGAGCCAGGGCTTCAGAGTCACTCTTCCGTAGAGGAAAAGATCATGTCCCAGAAATCCTTTGACTGACTGCTCCTTTGCAGGCTGGGGCTTCAGCATGGGGACCAATTACCACTTCCATAGCTGGAGAGTGTTTGTCATCGTCTGTGCTCTGCCCTGCACCGTGTCCATGGTGGCCCTGAAGTTCATGCCAGAGAGCCCAAGGTTTCTGCTAGAGGTGAGTCAGTGCTTTTCCACCAGGGGGAGAGTGACAAAACAGCCACAGGAACCCAGCCTCGCTTCCTTCTCTCAGCTCCTAGTCCCACATCCTCTGCTGCTTATGTGTTGCAAACTCTCCCCTGGTCGGCTGACCTCACTCATCATTGAATCTGGCACCTGCCGGCTGTGATGGTGGCAGGTCATGGATTCACGGACTGCAAATGCTGGATGGTTCAAGAGCTTGTGGAGCCCAGAGCAGGAGCTCTTTCCCAAGGCTGTGCAGTGGTGGAAGGGCAGCTCCTGAGCTGCCTCATGGCACCCACTGTCCCCCGAGGTCCTGATTAGGAAGTTTTTTAGCCTGGGCTACACAGGGAGACCTCATCTCTACAAAAAAAAAAAAAAAAAAATTAGTTGAGCGATTTGGTGCGTGCATGCCTGTGGTCCCATCTACTTGGGAGGCTGAGGTGGGAGGACTGCTTGGGCCCCAGAGATCAAGGCTGGAGACAGCCATGGTTGTGTCACTGCACTCCAGTCTGGGTAACAAAGAGACACCCTGTCTCAAAAAAATAAAAATATAAATAAATAAATAAATAAATAAAGGAAGCTCTTTAGAGCTGCTGGTTTTCCGTGTTTGGCACTGAGAGCTATGGTACAGCTCGTTGCTGCTCCTAAGCACTTCAGGTCTTTTAGCTACACAGGGTCCCCAGCCACCAGACAGCTGCATCTGTGTCCTGAGAAATGAGTCCCATGAGCCTTCCAACAGCAGGGGAACCTCCTGCTTGCAGAAGTCAGACAGTGCAGAAGCAGGCAGAGGGGCAACAGGACCTTGAGGCTCTTCCAGCCCCAATCTGCAGAGTCCACCTATCTGCCTCCTTCCTAAGCCATGTGCAGAGTGATCCTCCATGTCCAATGTCCGTGTTCACCCCTTTGATCAGGAGGCAGATGCAACAGGGAGTTTTGCACCCTTGGTTGGATATGAGTGTCCTAGGGCTGCTGTAGCAAAATGCCACAAACCGAGTGACTTAAAAGGACAAATTTATCTCACAGTTTCAGAGGCTTGAAGTCCCAAATCAAAGCAGCAGCAAGGTCATGCTCCCTCAGAAAACTGTACGGGAGACTCCTTCCTTGCCTCTTTCAGATTCTGGTGGTTTGTGGCAATTTTGACCATTCCTTGGCTTGCAGCTGCAACACTCCAGTCGTGGCCTTCATCGTCACATGGTGTCCTCCCTGATGCCTCTGTGTCTCCATATGGAGGTCTTCCTATAAGGGCAGCAGTTATATCGAAACAAGGCTCCACCTACTCCAGAATGTCGTAATCTTAATTTAGCTAATTGCACCTGCCACGACCCTATTTCCGAATAAAGTCACTCTCTGTGGTACTGGGGATTAGCACTTCACCATATCTTTTTTTGGGGGGACACAATTCAACCTGTAACATGTTGCTTCTTCGCCTTATCTCATCAGTGACGAACGTGCTTCCCACACCACCGTCCATTCAACCTTATAACTGTGATTAGTTACTCAGAGTGTATAATGATGATACTACCTAACATTTACACCTTGAAAGCACAACCTTATTATCCTTGTAAGAATGGCTGGGGATGGAAGCTTGTCCTGGTCTTTCACAGGTCCTAGATGGTAATGAGTCCATGTGCAATTGCCTCAGACCTGCTAGGAATGCTCGTATCAACATTCCCATTGAGTTTGTAGGATTTTCCACCCCTAATGAACAGAAGGCATAGTCAGCAATGAATTTTTCCTGTGTCTTTCCTTGGTTTCACCAGATGGGCAAACATGATGAAGCCTGGATGATTCTCAAGCAAGTCCATGACACCAACATGAGAGCTAAGGGGACCCCAGAGAAAGTGTTCACGGTGAGTGTGGGGTTGCCTGCCAATAAGAAGGGGGTTCTCCTCTTCACTGCTTTGATTTACTAAAAAGTAATTTAAGCACATAACAGGAAATTTGTCAAAAGGAGAACAAAGACTCTGATATTGCTGTTACTTTATAATAATTATTCTTCACATTTTGATGGATATCCTTTGAGGTTTTTCCTTAGGTTGCTAGTTGTTTTTAAAAATGGTGCCAGGTGCGGTGGCTCATGCCTGTAATCCCAGCACTTTGGAAGGCTGTATTAGTCCATTTTCATGCTGCTGATAAAGACATACCCGAGACTGGGAAGAAAAAGAAGTTTAATTGGACTTACAGTTCCGCATGGCTGGGGAGGCCTCAGAATCATGGCGGGAGGCGAAAGGCACTTCTTACATGGTGGTGGCAAGAGAAAATGAGGAATTTGCAAAAGCAGAAACCCCTGATAAACCCATCAGATCTCATGAGACTTATTCACTACCATGAGAACAGTATGGGTGAAACCACCCCCATGATTAAAATTATCTCCCACCATGTCCCTCCCACAACATGTGGGAATTATGGGAGTACAGTTCAAGATGAGATTTGTGTGGGAACGCAGAGCCACACCACATCAGAGGCCGAGGCTGGCAGATCACTTGAAGTCAGGGGTTCAAGACCAGCCTGGCCAACATGGCAAAACCCCATGTCTACTAAAAATACAAAAAAATCAGCTGGGCATGGTGGCGGGTACCTAAAATCCCAGCTACTCAGGAGGCTGAGGCAGGAGAATTGCTTGAACCCAGGATGCAGAGGTTGCAGTGAGCTGAGATAGTGCCACTGCACTCCAGCCTGGGCAACAGAGCAGGACTGTGTCTGAAAAAAAAAGATAACAGAAATAAACAGATTTCTCTGGGGATAAGCATATGTATGTATATTTATGTGTACATATTATTTAATAGTATAGCACTCATTATTGTTTTATATGCTGTCTCCTAGTATTCATAATCATCATTTTAATAAACAGTAATGTTACAAACATTAACATGGTTTTCCTAACATGTCTCTAATGTTAGAAGCTTGTTTATCCAGTTTTACTACCTTGTTCCTGTAAATATTAGTGCAATGAACCTTCTTGTGCACATAGTTCCTTCCCCTTCATGTCCTAGGATTGTTTTATTTCTAGGAGTAGACTCCTAGAAATAAAAGTGCTGGCTCAGAGAGCTTGGATATTTTTATAGCTCTTGAGATACATTGCCAAATCATAATACATTTCAACTGGGTTGTACCAATCTACAATGCCACAGGCAATAGAGGACCCATTTCTTTACACCCTTACCATCAGTGGCTATTAGTCTGAATTTTGTTTCTTGCCAGTTTTAAAAGCAGACAAAACAAACAAACAAAAAACCAAAACAAAATGGTAAATGGTAATTTCTATGAAGATGGCCTGATAGTTACAGAGACGCTGTCTTCCTGCCTGCCATGCTCTGACAAACCAGGAGGCTATAGGCATCTTTGTGCACCCGTTTTTATAACTTCCCCTACTTCAAATCCATTTTCTCAAGGAAACCTTCCTGGAGTAACTCCTACCTAACTTTGATTCACTGCTTTTATTTTTTAGCTTCCATAATTTCAGTCTCAAGTAAACCATTTACCCTTGTTAACCTGTTGCTTCAAACGTCTGCTTTTCAGGCAGGATCACACGGTGGCTGAGCACCTGCATCCAAAGTATCAAATCCCAGTTTTGACACTTTCTAGCTGTGTGGCCTTGGGCAAGGTACTCTCTGTGCCTCATTTTTCTCATGGAGAAAAGAGGGATAATCATATCTATATATGTGGCTATTGTAAGGATTAAGTAAAACACCAAAAAACAAAAACAAAAACAAAAACAAAAACCGGTGCCTGGCTTGGAGTAAGTGCTACACAGACGTTAACCATTATTTAAATTATTATGACATTTTTTCATAAATTAACTCAAGTTATAAATTTTATGGAAAATTCCTCAATGGGATATTTTCTCAATTCTAATGCTTCTAAAATATCTGAAATATGGGACCAATGCTTTTCCTGCCATTTTTTTAAAACTTCTATTTTAGGTTCGGGGTACATGTGCAGGTTGTTATAGAGGTGAACGTGTGTCACGGGGGTTTGTTGTACAGGTATTTTGTCACCCAGGTATTAAGCCCAGCACCCAATAGTTATCTCTTCTGCCCCCTTCCTCCTCCCACCCTCCACCCCCAAGTAGACCTCAGTGTTGGTTGTTCCCTTCTTTGTGTTCACAAGTTCTCATCATTTGGCTCCCACTTATAAGGGAGAACATGTACTGCAAACATTTATTAAGAAGCACGATGAACAGAAATGCTCCAAATGAAAGATGTTAAGGGTCACAGTGAGTCTCCCGATCTTCCATCCCCGCCGACTCTGTGATGGCCTGTAGTGCTCCCGCTGTGCTGCGGGTGTGGAAGCCACACATTGGTGAGGCTTCTGGGTGTACTTGGCTCAGTCCTGCCACCCTGCCCCTGCTGCCTCGTTCCATGGCCAGAGGAAGTCTAAGCTTCTCTCCGAGCTGCTGCTTATTTCTGGAAGATGTTTCCATGGTCTTCTGTCTCTGCCTCCAGTCTCTGACTCCACATTGGCTGGATTGGTTTTTGCACTACATCAACCTGGCCTGAAACACGGGCATACACAAGCACATCCACAAAGACACGGAGACACACATAGACATAGGCACACATACAGAGACACACAGACACAGGGACACACGGACACACATGAACACAGACACACAGACACAGAGACACACAGACACAGAGACACATGGACACACATGAACACAGACACACAGACAGAGACAAACAGACACAGGAACACACGGACACAGACACATGGACACACATGAACACAGACACACAGACACAGGAACACACGGACACACAGAGGCACACATACAGACACACATGAAGACAGACACACAGACACATTAAGACAGACACAGATGCAGAGACACACAGACACAGGAACACAAACACAGAAACACACAGACACACATTAAGACAGACACACAGACACAGGAACATACGGACACACAGGGACACACACACACAGATACACATTAAAACAGACATGTAGATGCAGAGACACACAGACACACATTAAGACAGACACACAGACACAGAGACACACACAGACACAGACACAGACACATATTAAGGCAGACACAGGAACACAAACACAGAAACACACAGACGCACATTAAGACAAACACACAGACACAGGCACACACAGACACACAGAGACACACACACAGACACACATTAAGACAGACACACAGACACAGACATCACCCATACCAAGCGTTTGGGTTGAATGGACTTCCCGAACATTTGTGAACAGAGGAATTACATCGCAGAGTGCAGCCTTCTCCTTCCTTTCTCCGTGCCCCTCCTCCCTTTCAGTCTCTCCACCTCCTTTCCTCTGCCTTCTCTCTATTCTTCTCCCTTTCGAATAAAACAGTTCCTCCTTGCTTATGCACAGTAGGTTACTAGTGTTTTAAATCTGAGAGTGTCTTTCTGGGATTTCCCCATGCCTCGAGCAGTTATTAACAGATTTATTTCAAATGCACACAGACTGTCCCAGGAGCAGTCCTGCTGGATAATTCCTTCCCACCCTGTTCTGCCTGTCTGCCCTTGCCTGTCCCAGGCACGCTGTCAGCTCCTCCCCACTTGCGTCTTACTCTAGGGTGTCTCGTACAGAAGGTTCCACGCAGTGGTGCTTAGCCAGGCGTTTCCTAACTGTTGCTTCTGGAAGGACTCCTTCTACACCAACCAAACAGGCCCCACTGGGAGCCCCATTTTTGGAGAAGTGATCCCACATTCTCTCCTGACGATGCATTCTACTGTGTGAAGAGAGAAACTCTGGCACATTAAAATTTTAGAGAGTTTATTTATGGAGACAGTGATTCATCAGTCAGGTAGCTCACACTGGAAGTGGGTCAGGGCTTTCCCTAAGGAGCACGAGGGAGAGGCTTTTATAGGTCGAACATGGAAGCAGAGCAGAGAAAGCATTTGCTGGGTTAGAGTTTGGGCCATTGCCTCATTTGGATTATTCCAGTGGGAAGTTCAAGATAATACAGCCAGTGTCCACTCAGCCAACTGGGATTGGCTGAGCTTGTTTCATTTTCTTTAAAGTTCTGAGTTAGGTTTCTGCTTGATGATGTGGGAACCCAGGGCATTAGAGCCACCTCCGTTGAGTGGCCTCCCATTTAGTTATTTTAACAGATATAACTGCCTAATGCTGAAGAATGAGATCTTAGCCAGGAAATAAATAAAAATGCCAATTTTCAGACACAAAAGCCTTTTACAACAGGATCAGAGTTCCTCATTTTCGGGGTGGGAGTGCACCCGGAGGAAGGATGTGCAGGCAGAAATCAATGTGCGGAGAGTTACAAAATGTTGGAGTTGGTCTTATCCCAGCATGCGTGCCAGTTACTAAGCTCTGAGGCATAACTTCTGCTTTTAGTTTTAACCCAACAGGAAGAAGGACTTAAAAAGGTTATGGGCTCAGTATTCTATACTGACTTGATGATTATATTAATGATGTAGAAGTAAATGGCTGGATGGGCCAGAAAAAGAAATGAAAAAAGAGAGACAACCAGAAAGTGGTAACTGACCTTAGAGAGCCAGCCTGTGGTTGGCGGTCAGGGGCGGGTACTCAGCCCAGCTTGAAGGTGTTACCTGTTTTACTCCTGTGCGTGTCCCATCAGCAGACGTGCTCATAGATGTATTCAGTGGCCTGGAGGGAGAGCTTAGGGCAGTCACACTCTTAGTTGATGCCCATGCCGTGAGCTCTAGGTTTTACCAGCCCTGTTGGCTGCCTCACAAACTCACAGTGAAACCTTTGGAAGGAGAAGGAGTTGAAGCATTCGGCTGAGAACCCACGATCTGCAGGGCTGGGGGAACACAGGCCATATTCTAATTTAGACTGAATCATAGACAATTGTTCTAATGAATCGTAAATTAGAGTGAGTAATTATGCTTCAAGTTGTCAACACACTCACTCCCTAATCCCAAAGGAAGACTGTTATTTTCCCCAAGGAGCAAAGAAAGGAAAAACTGACATTTGAGAGGATATCTTAAGGCTTTGGGGTGTGGTTTTTAAGGTGCTTCCTGAGTTGATGTTAACTTCCCCTGTAGCCTCCTTTATCTGTAGCTGGGGGTCATAACATCCATGAAGGTACTGAATAGCTTGAAGCCCAGCTGCAGCCAAGAGTTCAGCTGCAGAGCCTGCTTTGTTAGTTCTGAAGCTTCTCTGTCTGACCTCAGGCGGAAGATCATTTGCAAAGGCTGCATAGCTGGGAGTGGCCAGATGAGTCCAGGAGGCTCACAGTGTGGTCATGTCCTTGACATTTCTGGGAAGAGAGCCTATGCCTTTAGCAGATTCTCAAATTCTCCCAAAAGCTTAAGAACCACTGTTTTGGCTGGGCGCAGTGGCTCACGCCTATAATCCCAGCACTGTGGGAGGCCAAGGCAGGTGGATCACGAGGCCAGGAGATGGAGACCATCCTGGCCAACATGGTGAAACCCTGTCTCTATTAAAAAATACAAAAAATTAGCTGGGTGTGGTGGTGCAGGCATGTAGTCCCAGCTACTCGGGAGGCTGAGGCAGGAGAATCGTTTGAACCTGGGAGGCAGAGGTTGCAGTGAGCCGAGATCGTGCCACTGCACTCCAGCCTGGCAACAGAGCGAGACTGTGTCTCAAAAAACAAAACCAAACAAAAACAAACAAATAAAAAAAACAAAACCCCCCACTGTTTTTAGGGTTTAAAAAACAATAGCCAAGCTGTCTTAGACCTAGCCCTCGGGAAATGATGAGTCCGTTGTCCACTTTCCAGGGACTGCTTTCTCCCCGCGGATTGCCCAGTCGCATCTGTATTTCCCTTCTGCTGTCTCCTCATATCCTCAGTCCTTTGGCTGAAGAAAGAGATGGAGACACTCTATGGCTCGTCTTTATCCCTAGATGAAAAGTTTATTGGAGGAGGTGATGGAAACAGTTTTTGAATTTTTTTGAGTATGCTCTTTGAGAAATCGCAGACTCCTCTAGTCCTAAATCAGTTTAAATAGTTACATTAAACTACACATTGAAAACTCTGACACAAAGTGGGGTTCAAATTCTCTATATCCTATTTTTACTTTTCAGGTTTCCAACATCAAAACTCCCAAGCAAATGGATGAATTCATTGAGATCCAAAGTTCAACAGGAACCTGGTACCAGCGCTGGCTGGTCAGATTCAAGACCATTTTCAAGCAGGTATGATTGGGAACTTACTTTGGATGAGGATGCGTCTCTATGGGAGTCTCTTACCTTAGTGGATGAAAAATGCAGCTCCTGAACATCCCCACCAACCTGGGCCAGCGTGATGGAGAGGAAGCAACCCTGGAGGGGGGCGTTTGGGCTCCAGCCCACGTCTGCCTCTAGCTTGCTGTGTGCCCTGGAGCTGAAAACTCTCTAAATCTTAGTTTCTTTTCTTTGTTCTTCCTTCCCAAGGCAGGGATTTTGAATGTAGATAAAATGTCTAGTCTGAGTAAACATTATTCTCTCTAGCAAATTTTAAAATAATCACATGGAGGAAGAAGTGAGTAAAATAAATGACCCCTTGAGGCTTGTTCTTGATTTCCAAGAAACATTTTTCTAAAAGGGCAATGCCATTTCTCTGGAGCACTGGCTCCTCCAAGTAGGGAGCCAGTCAGCTATTGAGCACTGAGGCAGCCAGACAGCCAGCGTCTATTGGGACTGGTTGGCCTTCATGGTGTATGGTCAGTAAATGTTTGCAATATCCCCCTTGCCCACAGGCAGGGAGTAGAACTCAGCAGTCAAGGTTACTCAGTGCCTTGAAGTCCTAACTCAGTGTGCTTTCAATCACATTCATGGAATGCTGTGCTCCCGGGGAAAATCCTATTGGACTGTTAGAGTATGAGGCCAGCCAGTAGGAAGAGAAGAGGCTTTCCTTGTTATTTGGACAGTTTTGCTGCCTCTAGGAGACAGTGGGGTACCGGTTCTCTCCATGGGTTCCTAGGCAACTTATTAGAATATCTGAGTAATGAGCTCTTCGTGGGAGAAACAAAGTCACACATTGCTTTCTTTAACAATCCTTCTCTGGTATGGGTTGTAGGTCTGGGATAATGCCCTGTACTGTGTGATGGGGCCCTACAGAATGAATACACTGATTCTGGCCGTGGTTTGGTTTGCCATGGCATTCAGGTAAGTTCTGTCTTACTTAAATTTCGTAATTCCCTGTGCCTCAGTGGCCTCCTTTACACATTGAGGATTACAGTGAGTTCTGACTTAGAATTTGTATCAGGTAGGATGCTTTGGTGGCAAGTAGCAGAAAACCAACTCTAGTGGCTTCTACAAAGAAGAAACTTTTTTTTTTTTTTTTGAGACAGAGTCTTGCTCTGCACCCAGGCTGGAGTTCAGTGGCATGGGCTTGGCTCACTGCAGCCTGTGCCTCCTGGGTTCAAGCTATTCTCCTGCCTCAGCCTCCCCAGTTGCTGGGACTACAGATGTGTGCCACCACACCTGGATAATTTTTGTATTTTTAGTAGAGATGGGGTTTTGCCATCTTGGCCAGGATGGTCTTGAATTCCTGACCTCAAGTGATCTGCCTTCCTTGGCCTCCCAAAGTGCTGGGATTACAGGTGTGAGCCACCACATCCAGCCAGTGGGGATGTCTTTAGTGTTTCCCTATTCACTAAGATTCTGGCTGAGACATGTATATTTTACATGTTAAGGAGGTGTCCCTCAACCCCTAATCTATTGGTGTTTGTATCAGGAAAACATTTCTTTTAAATCAAATGCCTTTTCAGCATTTATGGAGGTGGTCATAGTTTTCCCCTTGTATTTATTAATATGAGGATTTATATTGTCAGATTTTCTAATAATGAACCAAATTAATGTATTTTCAATGAGTTTGATCTGCATCAAGTCAAGAGTGTAGACCCTGATCATGAAAGAATGAATCCTGTTGTTGTTGCAACCTTCTGCCTTCTCCACTCCAGTTACTATGGACTGACAGTTTGGTTTCCTGATATGATCCGCTATTTTCAAGATGAAGAATACAAGTCTAAAATGAAGGTGTTTTTTGGTGAGCATGTGTACGGCGCCACAATCAACTTCACGATGGAAAATCAGATCCACCAACATGGGAAACTTGTGAATGATAAGTAAGTGAGTGATCACGGGCTTCCCTCACATCAGGGTGACAGTCGTGGGGACTGTTATTGGGAGGGAGCCGGAGGGAAGATAAGAATCAAATATGGCCGGGAATGAGCGCCAAGGCTGGTGTCATCATCACAACCTGTCATGGCTGCCAGTGACGCCATAGCTCCCCTAGTGGCTGTGTCTGTGTTGTGCTGGCTCCCCGACACCCTAATCTCCTGGTGAGAGCTATTTCATGTGAGGATGGAGACATTTGACTGAGGACGGTCAGTTGGGCCATTTTTCCAAGTGATGTCCCATTAAGAGTGGCTGCCCAGAGAAAGGGCCTAGGGCTCTTACTGCTGAGATTCCCGAACTAGTCCAAAGCCTGGGTGTTGAGCTTTTACTTTGACCCTAGAAGCTTTTCCATGCCAGGACAAATAAAGCCCTGTTGTTATTCTTTCACCTAATATTCCTTTGGAGCGTTGATCAGTATGGTCCACAGTCAGCTAGGAGTGTTTTTTAGAGGAAAAAAAAAAAATCAGTGGAGGATTAGAAAAGTCCTGTTCACAGCTTTGTGGGGCTGCTTCCTCAATCCATTTTACTCCTCCTCCTCCTGGTTCTGGGACAAATGAGATGGGCCATCCGCCCTGTTGTGCTTTAGGAATGCCTCTTTGAAACTGTCCTCTGAAACCCTCAAGATGGATCAGGGCAGGACCTTAATCACGCTTACCCAAGCCCACATTATTCACTAAACTGAGCATTTACCCCTCTGCTGTGTCCCTTCCTGAACTGTACTTAGCAAGCTCATCAGGTTGTGAATGGTAAGTAAATGGGTGGCCATGGGCTATACAGTGGCACCTGAAATACCATGGCCCAGATAGTTCAATGTCAGTCACATTAACTGCCCCATATTTACCACTTCAATACAAAATTAACACCACGAATTCTCACCTCTGGTGAATGTTGTATCTCCCTCTGTCTGCACCCACATATGCGTCTGGTGTCTCAGTAAAGTCCCTACCTGTAGTGACTCCTGGCCACTTTAGGAAAGGAATGGCTGGGTGAAGCCCAGGAAGGATACCTCTTTCAGTTTATTCTATATTGTTCTTACAGGCTAGACTTTAGCTAAGGCTTCCTGTTATTTAAGGTGAGAAAGTGTGCAATAAAAAGGAGAATATTATTTCTACCAATATCAGACCTTTGGGAAGGAAGGTTTTGGACTAAGTATCATTGACATGGGTTCAGATTTTCAGAATTTTTAAAATGCTGAAGCCCAGTTGCAGACATCTCCATACTCATATACCCATGCATCTATACATCCCCTACAGAGACAGTTCAGAGTCATTATCCTCTGCCCAGAGTGACCACTCTAGGGATGGCAGCTTGTGGTGGTGGAAGGCAGTTCCCCCAAGATGTTTCATTGTCTGAGCTCTTTAGTATGTCAGGAGGTCTTGTGTTGACATTGCCAAGGAAGAAATATCACCCTTGCTTTATTAGGATACTTTGGAAATATTGAAAACTAAGGGACATTATGGATGACTAGATGTCACCCATGGGGTGACACCATTCCTTGCAGAGATGAATTCCCTAAAGGAGACCTCATTTCTGAAGTTCCCAATGTTTAGTGATACATTATTTTGATACAAGTAATACTAATGGTAGCAGTGACAGTGATAATAATGCCAATGATAGTCACTGTAGCAGGCAATGTTAATGAGCATTGCTGTGTGCCAGGTGCTACCTTAAGTGCCTTACGTAGATATCTCACAAAACTCCAGGGAACAAGAAATATGCTTTCTCTTTTGCAAGTGGGGAAACAGAAGCTTAGAGAGGTTAAGTATCTTGCTCAAGATCACACAGCTAATATACATAGAAATATCTATCTCCCAACCCATGCATTTGGACTCCAGATCTTGGACTCTTGACAACTACAAATATTTTCTCATTGGGAAACTCTTCATTCCTACAGAGGCGCTGTTTTACATGATACTTTCTGCATTAAAGTCAATACAACGCAGAGTCCTTGTGATTTGTAACAAGCAGGTTTTGCAGTTCTGACACTTAGCTAGGCAGAAAGTGGAGACTTTTGATCCACTCTGTCATTTTAACTTTGCTCAGCTTCTCCGGGCTTTCAGCAAACTGCTGGGTGGGAGTGAGGAGGAAACAGGGGCTGAAGAAAGCAGTGTTGAATCCTGTGGATGATGGGGGGATGGTGAATCCTGTGGATGATGGGGGGATGGTGAATCCTGTGGATGATGGGGGGACGGTGAATCCTGTGGATGATGGGCGGACGGTGAATCTTGTGGATGATGGGAGGACGGTGAGTCCTGTGGACGATGGGAGGACGGTGAGTCCTGTGGACGATGGGAGGACGGTGAGTCCTGTGGATGATGGGCGGACGGTGAGTCCTGTGGATGATGGGAGGACGGTGAGTCCTGTGGATGATCGGAGGACGGTGAGTCCTGTGGATGATGGGCAGACGGTAAGTCCTGTGGATGATGTTGTGGATGGTGAATCCTGTGGATGATGGGTGGATGGTGAATCCTGTGGATGATGGGTGGACGGTGAATCCTGTGGATGATGGTTAATGAATTTTGTGGATTCAGGACCCCCTGAGGAACATTATGGATGACTAGATGCCTCTCCCCGCCCCACGGGGTGACACCATTCCCTGCAGAGATGAATTCTTTTAAGGAGACCTCATTTCTGAAGTTCCCAGTGTTTAGCAGATATATCATTGTGATATGAGTAATAATATTGATAGTAGTGACAATGAAATTGCTAATAATGGTAACTGTAGCAGCCAGTGTTATTGCCAAGGTCTGGGAATGTATAGGTGTGCCAAGGATTGTCTTGGAGTGGATTGTCTTCACACATTTTCTACCATGTTTCTATGCTTCAAATGTACATAGATGCTTTTGTATGATTATGAAAATATAAATTTCTTCAAAAGTTGTAATGAGTTCATTGTAACTTTCATCATATGGTACATGTTTTTTAACCAACAGACACTAAACCTATACCCACTATTATTTGAAGCCCATAATTCCCCCACTCCCTCCCCAGCAACTTGCTTGAATAAAAAGGGTATTTTTCTCCTTGACTGGTTAGGAACCTTTGAAAGCGATCTAAGGAATGAAAGGAGCCTGGCTTCTTTTCTTGAGTTATGCTGCCATCTGCTGGTCGTGAGCTGGAAAACAGCTCATCTTTGAAAACCCCAACCCTCTTCTGAGCGCCTCCATGAATACACGCGTGTTCTTTGGCTTCCTTGGGGGCATTTCTTCTATCCTTACCAGTATTCCTCCTTTGACTTTATTCATACTTGGCTGATTTAAGGTTTCGATGGAAATTATTTTATTGAGTATCACGCATGGTGGAAAATTATTTTTTGTAAACAGAGCTTCACCCACGGAAGTTGTTGACAAAGGAAATTCTATTGAAACCTCAGTTTCATCCTGCAGTAAAACCAATCTCTTTGCCCCCAAGAAGAAACAAAAGTGCCAAGGTTAGTTTTGGTCTGCTCCCAAAGCATCATCTGCATCCTTCTAGTGCCTTTTTGGGGATCTGGGGGCTCTGAGTACCCATGAAGCTTTTGCTTCAAAACCTGTGAGTTTTTGGAAAGTGCAAGAAAGGCAAAAGAATAAGTTCATGTTTTAAACCCTGAGCCAAAATGTCAGGCCAGGCTTCCTTTATTGTTAGCTAAAAACAGGATAGAGTTTCTACCCAGAATATGTATTAACTAAGTAATTAATTAACAAACTTACCTTCTCTTCCTGGGAAGACATTTCTGCTTGGTAGGGCTTTCTTCTGTGAGGGTTAGGAGCAGGAGAGCATTATCTTATTTAAACCTTTCTGCACATCAGGGAGAGATGCCTGATTTCTGTCTGTGATAGGTCGTGACCCAGGAAGTAATGTCTTACTCCTGGCGGTTCCTCAAAGCTGATGCTGTGTTCTTACTCAGGTAGGAACGTGTAACTGCTCACTCAGATGATTTGCCAATGAAGGATGGGAGAAAAGCTCTCTTGAGTTTTTAGTAAAGGTCAGAGGTGAATAGCTCAGTATGAAAATGAAGTTCACAAGATTTAGCTCTAAAATGAGGCCGGTAGGATAGCAGGGGGCAGGAAGAGCAGAGAGAGGAAGAAAGCACACACACACACAATAGAACAGAGGTTGCTGTCACGCATCACACTGAAATGTTACACGCCAAGGCTCCTTTGGGGAGGGGGGATAAATGAGCATATTCGTCTTTTTTTTTTTTTTTTTTTTTTTTGATGGAGTCTCACTCTGTCTCCCAGTCTGGAGTGCATTGGCATGATCTCAGCTCACTACAGTCTCCGCCTCCCAGGTTCAAGCGATTCTCCTGTGTCAGCCTCCTGAGTAGCTGGGATTACAGGCGCGTGCCACCATGCCCGGCTAGTATTTGTACTTTTAGTAGAGATGGGGTTTTGCCATGTTTGCCAGGCTGGTCTCGAACTCCTGACCTCAAGTGATCCGCCCCCCTCGGCCTCCCAAAATGTTGGGATTACAGTCATGAGCCACCACGCCTGGCTCTAAATAAGAATATTCTTCAACTGCAGTGGGACTAAATTTCAGTAGAGTAAAGCTCCTCGAAGATGCCAGTGGTGGGCCAGGTCAATGCAGCTTCTGGTTTCTTGATCCCAGAAAGTTGCCAAGGCTGGGTTCTAGCTTTGATTGTTTAATAACAAGCTGAGCCAACCTAGGCAAATCTGTGACCTGTCTAAGCCTAGGATTCCACATCAGAATGTGATAATATTGATGTAGAATGTATATCATATTTCAGAGTTGATAACATTTCTCAGCCAAGTTCTGTAGCTTACTCCAGGTCCTGCATGGTTCTTGTGGAGCATCTTGGATAGTTTGTACTTTGGCTGCTGAAAATTGGATTCCTTTTCCCCTGTCAAACATGTGCACATGTTGTAGCAAATAAATAAGACCCCTGTTGAGTTTTGGATATTTATTTTGTCTCTGAGCTCTCTGATAGTTCTGTTTTTCTCTTGTTATATAATCCTATCATCTGCAAGTAACTAGTTCTTTGGCTCCTTTCCTCTCTTTTTTTCCATTATAAAACATTTCAAATATGCAGAGAAGAGAGAATAATATAAGCAGCCCTATTCAGAGCACCTAGCTTTATAAAATCATAAACTATGTTTACTCCAGATGTCAAAATTGATGAAGCATTACTCCTTTTGATAATATTCTTCTCCCTCGCCGGAGGTCATGATCACCATTGTCATAAGTTTGGTGCTTTACATTCACGCATTTTTTACACTTTTTGCATATACATGTGTATCATAAACATTGTACAGCAGTCTTTTGAATGTTTCAAAATTTAGATAAAACCATATTATATTACATGTATAGATATATAATTATTATAAATTATGCAACTTGTTTTTTGTGTAAAATTATGATTTTGAGAATACTCTGTTGGGGGAGAAAACTATATAACTCAATGTCATTTAATTCAAATTTTTATATGCATATTTCATAATGTATCCATCTGTTCTCCTTTTGAGGGACATTTAAGTAGTTAATAAACTTTTCTTGCTATTACAAATAAAGCTGCAAAAAGTGTTGTCAGGAAGGAATTTTTCTAGGCTATGTACCTAGAAGAGGAATTGCTGGGTGAAAGGCTGGAAACATTGTTCTCCAAAGGGATTGCATTAATTTGCACTCTCACCAGTAGTATACGGTGTATATTTAGCTTATACTGTTCTTGTTCAACTTTGGTATCATTGTTATGTCCTCTCTTTCTTTTCCTTAAAGGAAACTATATAAGATAGGGATTGTTAATTTTTTGAAGGTTTGGTAAAACCAGCCTCTATAACCAAGTGAGCCTGCCATCTATGGAGACAATACATTTAGATGACCAATTCATTTTGTAATGGTATTTGTATATTCAGGTGCGGTAGTTCTTGTTTTGAAAAATTATATTTTAAAAGTTTTACAATTTATCAGCATAAAAGTATTCATCGTCTTGTCTTAGGACATTTAAAATCTGTTGGATCTGTAATTGTAAGTCCTCCTTTTTTGTACTAATACAATTTCCATTAATATTCACTCTTCATCTCACCAGCTATTTAGAAGTGCATTTTAAGTGTCAAAATACCGTTAAATATTGATCATTTATATATACTTGTGCTATGACCGGATGATGCAGTCTGTATGATTTTTATTCTTAGAAATAAAAATGTGTTAGGACTTTGTTTTTGTTGTTGTTAGGTGTATACATATTTATAACCATTATATGTTACGGGTGAATTGAAACCTTTGTCATTATGTAATGTACCCTTAATCCCTGATAGTAGTCTTTGTTCTAAGTTTACTATCTGATATTATCTAAATCTCCAGCATCTTTCTGATCAGTGTTTGTATAACTTTTTCCATTTTTTTGCTTTCAATTTATGTATATTTTTATAATTAAGTGAATTTCTTGTAATTAATATATAGTTAGGTCTTCCTTTCTCCACCTAAACTGACTCTCTTTATTTTTAAATCCGTGTGTATAGAACATTTATACTTATTGTAATTATTTATATGGTTGAATTATAGCCTATCATCTTGCTGGCTATTTTCTATTTGTTTTGCATGTTTTTTGTTTTTTCTTTTCTCCCACCCTCTTTTAGATTATTTTCATAATTCCATTTTACGTTCACTATTGGTATATTACTTATTCCTCTTTGTAAAAAATTTAGTGGTGTCTTAGCGCTTACAATATACATCTTTAATTAATCATAATGTGCCTTCAAGTATTATTCTATTACTTCACTTTTAGTGTAAGAGCCTTACAACAGAACACTCATTTCTTCTCTCCTGTTTTATGTGATTGTTGTCATACATACTTGTTTTACATATGCTATAAACACGTGATATATTGCTACTATTTTTGCTTTACCCAGTGAACTATCTTTTAGAATGATTAAAAATAGAAGAAAAATAGGCTGGACATAGTGGCTCACAACTGTAATCCTAGCACTTTGGGAGGCCAAGGTGGGCGGAATGCCTGAGCTCAGGAGTTCGAGACCAGCTTGGGCAACATGGTAAAACCTTGTCTCTACTAAAAATACAAAAAATTAGTCAGGCATGGTGTTGCATGCCTGTGGTCCCAGCTACTTGGGAGGCTGAGGCACGAGAATTACTTGAACCTGGAAGGTGAAGGTTGCAGTGAGCTGAGATACCACCACTGCACTCCAGCCTGGGTGACAGAGTGAGACTCTGTCTCCAAAAAAAAGAGGAAAATGTACTTAACCATTTCTAGAGATCTTCATTTCTTTGTGAACATCCAAGTTTCAAATGTAGATAGGTATTATATTTCTTATGCCTGAGGAACTTCCCGTTACTATTTCTTGTAGTGAAATTATGATGGCAATACATTTTCTCAGTATTTGTTTGTCTGATGGATCTGTTTCTTCTCTTCAATTTTGAAAATATTTTTGCTGGGTATAAAATCTGGGTGGACAGTTTTTTTTTTTTTTCCAGTTAGAAATTTAAAGCTTTCACCCTATTGTCTTTTGGCTTGCATACTTTCTGATGAGAAGTCTGCTGTATTCTTATCTTTATTTATTAATTTTTTTGTATGTAACATGATTTTTTTTCTTTTGCTCCCTTCAAGATTTTCCCTTTATATTTGATATTCAGCTATTTGAATATCATGTGCTTAGGTGTACCGCCACCTCCTCATCTTCCTTCTCCTCCTTCTTCTTGGGATTTACTCTATTGAGGTTCTATAAGTTTTATGAACTTATGGTTTGATTGGTTTCATTACTTTAGGAAAATCCTTTGCCTTTGTCTTTCCAAATACTTCTTCTTTCTCTTATCTTTCTTGAATTCCAATTGCACCTATGTTAGATTGTTTGATATTTTCCCATAGCTCTTAGATGTTTTTCTCTGTTTCTTCCCTTATTTTTCTCTTTATGTTTCAATTTTGGTAATATTTTTTGAGTTATCTATAACTCCAGTAATCCTTTGTTTTTGCCATGATGAGCCTAATAATGAGTCTATCAACGACATTCTTAATATCTGTTACATTATTTAAAACAATTCTAGCGTTTCTTTCTGAATCTTATAGCTTGCATCTTTTTGCTGGAATTTCTCAACTGCTCATGCGTGTTAACCATTTTTTCCTTTAAGGCTTTAATATGTTAATAATAATTATATTAAATTCCCTGCCTGATAGTTCCAGTATTTATATTATTGTTGTTGTTATTATTATTATTATTATTATTATTATTATTTGAGACAGAGTTTTGCTCTTGTTGCCCAGACTGGAGCGCAATGGCATGATCTCAGCTCACCGCAATCTCTGCCTCCCAGTTCAAGTGATTCTGCTGCCTCAGCCTCCTGAATAAGTGGGATTACAGGCATGCAACACCACACCTGGCTAATTTTTTGTATTTTTAGTAGAGACGGGGTTTCTCCATGTTGGTCAGGCTAGTCTCAAATTCCCGACATCAGGTGATCTGCCCACCTTGGCCTCCCAACTGAGTATTATTTTTTAAGTGATTATGTCTTGATATGATGTTGTTTTACTCTTGCTTCTTTGTATGTCTTGTAATGTTGGGTTGCAAGTCAGATGTTTTGTATGACAGTAGGGACTAAAAAATGTGTACACCTCTTTTGCTAGGTTTTAACAGTATGTGGGGAGGTTAAGAAAATCTAGGCAGTAGTTGAGCTTGGTTTGGATTTTGTTTTAGCTATGGTTACCTTAGAAACTTTTTGAAACTTCCTTTTTTATTGAGGAATAATTTATGTACAGTAAATTTACCCCTTTTAGTATACAGCACTGTGAGTTTTGACAAAGGCATGCAGTCATGTAACCATCAACACAAGCAAGATACAGGACAATTCCATTACCTCCTGGATTTCCCCATGCCATTTTGTGGTCAGCCCTTTCTCCATCCCCAGTCCTTGGCAGCCAATGATCTTCTTTATGTTACTTACATGGAATTATACAATAGGAAGCCTTTTGAATTTGCTTCTTTTACTTAGCATAATGCATTTGGAATTTATCCATGTTATTGCATTTTTAGTAGTTTATTTTTATTGTGGAGTAGTATTCCATGATTTGAATGTATTACTGTATTTTGTCTATCCATTTACCTGTTGAAGGGATCTTTGAATTGTTTCCAGATTTTGGCATGGCTAAATTAGTGTTTGACTTAGGATGTTTCTAACTATATTTATATATGAATTTGTTCTACTATTTTTCTCTTGCTAATTTAATGTTTATATCCTTATTATTTCCCTTTTTGTTCTATGTTCTATGCTTCAGTTATCGTTCCTAAAGGCAGTAAATGTGCTAGGATCTTTGTAAAGGAGACAGAGTGAAGTATCGTGATTTCACCACTCAGGTATCTTTGAGTGTAAGAAAAGAAAGAGAGGGGAAGTTGGATTTTATTGCCAGACTCACTGAGGCACAAGAATGTATGTCCTTACGCTATTTGGTTGACGTTGGCACCAGGATTTCCCATCATGAACATTTTCTGATTCTTCATGAGATAATATTTCAGTATTTGAGGAAGTAAGATGGCCATCTCCTAAGTCCACTCTTTTATTTCTTTCTTGGGGCTACACACAGTAAAAGTACGCCCCGTTTATGGAACCATGCTAGAGCTGCAAAAAGAGCCATCTTCTCAACACCCCTATTTTATAGATTTTTTTAAATGCGGGCTTCGAGAGGAGAAGAAAATTGTTTGAGGGCTCCTGGTGGTTAAGTTCTGAAAGTTAGACTCTTCATTTTTTGGAGGGTGGCATCACAGGTTGGGTGAAGGCCTGACCCCTACACCTGGAGAATGTAAGAAGTTACACATCACGCCTGTAATCCCAGCACTTTGGGAGGCCGAGGCGGGTGGATCATGAGGTCAGGAGATCGAGACCATCCTGGCTAACAAGGTGAAACCCCGTCTCTACTAAAAAAATACAAAAAATTAGCCGGGCGCGGTGGCGGGTGCCTGTAGTCCCAGCTACTCGGGAGGCTGAGGCAGGAGAATGGCGTGAACCCGGGAAGCGGAGCTTGCAGTGAGCCGAGATTGCGCCACTGCAGTCCGGCCTGGGCGACAGAGCGAGACTCCGTCTCAAAAAAAAAAAAAAAAAAAAAGAAGTTACACAGATATTCAGGCAAGAATTTGTTTCCTCTTTTCTTTAAGCAAATTAGGCCCAAGTACATATTTTCTGAAGTGATCCTCTTATTTGTCTTTTGATTTACCTCAGATTAGGACCTGATCTAAGGTAATATGTGAGAAGCCGGGGTGCCTGTTCTTAAGAACTCTATTTCATTTCATGGTGGCTAGAGAGCTTATTAAAATATTTATGTGTGTGAACTTTGGGGAGCCGTAGCCTTTATTTATTTTCTCCTTAAATGACGATGTAATTTACGTGAAAGAGAATTCTCTGCTTTCAAAAAAGGCAATTGAAGAGTATATATGACATGCATCTGTGTCTGCACATGCTTTTCCCTCTGTCTGGAATACATGTCCTTATCTTTGCTTAGAGAGCTTTCACTCTTCCTTCAGGGTGAGTCACCTCATACTTTACCCAACTGGATCACAAGTGTCCCCTTAGAAGTGGTTTTATAGCATACCTCTATCTTGATAATCATCACACTAAATTTTAATGGCTGGTTTTCTTGTTTATCTCTTTAATTAGACTGAATTTCTTTAGGGTGATGCCCTCAAGCCTAACACATGTTGAATGTGACTTTGGTGTAGCTTAAATCACTTGCTGGACTAACCATTGGGCCTGAAGGCAACTGAAACAAAGTGTATGTAATGACAATTTTGTCATGGACCTTGGATTGCCAATGGCTTCTGTTGCCTTAAAGGAAAAGCTTACAAAGTACTGTTGCTAACATTTCTTTCATCTTTTGAACTCTCCTGAATCAAGAATCTTGGGTAGGCCAATTCAGTATATAGGCTGGAGATCGGAGGAGATGATTTATGTAGAGCGTCATAAAATATGTGTTGGCCCTTTCTCCTTTTATCTCTTCCCTTATAACTCTGGCTTTTTCTAACTGACTTGGAGAGACATTTTAAGGGCTGCCTGCGTCAGACCCATTTATGATTTATGGCTCTGCCTTCTCAGACACCCTGGGAAGAATATTAAAATATCACCCAAGGCTACATCAGCAGCCTATTACTATATTAGAGAGAAGGATATATTAAGAAAAGCAAAGGTCTGCAACAGTCTCCAGGAATAGCTCTCTTAAGTAAACACGTCTAGCTTATACATTTTGACATCAGAGGCATCTTCTTGTAACAAAAGACTCACCAATTAGTTTTCCCATGGAAATCTGAAGAATTTAGTGATAGCTTTTGGAGGCCCCTGTTTAAAAGTCTGTAGCAAATTTGGCCCTAAGAAAAATTTCTCAAAATAGTTTGGTTTTCTAGACCAATGATTCTCAAATTTCTTTAAGTATAATAATCTGGTCTCTGCCATTGGTGATTCTGGTTCAAGAGGTGTAGGCTGGAATTTAGGAAATGACATCTTTAATAATAACCTCAAGTTTATTCTGATGCAAGTGGTCTGGGGTCCTGCTTTTGGTGAACACTTGCCCGGGACTTCTTGTGTGGGGTCTTTTAGCAGAAGCTAATGATTGGCAGCTCTAGATTAAGGTTCTGAGCAGGACATGATAGAGCATGAAGGATAAGGGTCACTGGCCCATTGTAGGTGGTCATGGAGTGAATTATTTGGTGGCCCTTTTGAAAAGGAACAATGGCCATCAGCACCCTGTGCTATCTCTGTCATGCCGATTTCCACTGTATTGTAGTTGCCTATTTGCTTGCACTTTTTTCCAATTAGACTGGAGAGCAGGGACCATGACTTTCCTCTCTATACTCATAGCACCTAGTACCATGCTCAGTGTTTGCAGAAGACTAAATATGTAAGTGAATGAATAGAAGAATGAAAGAAAGTGTTGTAATTATTTGCAAATGAAGACATATTTAAAGGCTTCCAGCCTAAAAGTTTGACCAAGCTTGTTAAATATAGCCAACAGAGGAAGATGGTAATGTATGTGAGATACATTTTTAAATGTTGCATTGTTCTTTCCTATTAAATATGCAGGAGTTGGAGAGGTGCAGTGACTCCCACATGTGGCTGCGCCTCAGAATCGTCTAGGTGCCTTATTGTCTTTTTAACTGAGTTTTAAAAAAAAGTGAACACATAATACATACGCTTGGCATAAAGTGAAAATTAAGTGTATTATTCCTCACTTCCATTGTGCCTCCCTGGAAACAACCGTTTCTATCAGTTTCTTGTGTAGCTCTCCAGATATATTTGGAAGCATATGTATCCATGCCCTTTCTTACCTTAATGAGCCTGTCTTGTAAACTCTATGTTGCATCTTGATTTTTTAACTTAACAATATATCTTAAAGATTATTCCATATTAACACATATAGATCTACCTCATTTACTACGATGGCTACATGGTATTCCATTATATGGCATCTATTACATATGTATGTATGTAGTAATCCATTGTTGTTACAAGCAGTGTTACAATGAAGATCAGTGAATGTATCTCTTTGAATACATGGGCAAGTATGTGTAGGATAAATTCCTAGAGGTGGTATTCCTAGGTCAAAGAGAACGTGCATTTCAAATTTTGCAAAATTGCTCCCCAAAGAGGCTGCATGGATTATATTCTACCAATAGTATGAATGAAAGGCCTATTTCCCCACATCTTTGTTGGGACAATTTTTTTAAAAATGAAGATTCTCAGACCTTCACAATTCTATGGCTTCCAAAACTTCTAGGACCACTCCAGGGACCTGCATGTTTTAAAAATGTCTCAGAAAGTGAGGTGTTATTAATATTTAAATTTCACACTATTTCACATTTCTGTGATTCTGACTTAGAAGGTCCGTGGACCTGCCTTTGAAAACCAGCAGGTTGGTGCATAGCACTCCGTATGCACCTACGCTAGACACTGGCTTCCAGGTCCTGAAGCCCTTCCCCACTAATAAACAAACAGCTAAGAAGTGGGGAAGTGGTCTGGGTTGAAAATAATGCTCTGGCACCTTTTGCTTGCACATCTCCTTTTTCTGCCTTGCTGTGTTTTCCATTTTGGTCTTAAGTCTCTTTTTTTCTCAGATGAATCACTCAAGGGTCAACCTCTTCCCACAGGTTCACAAGAATGTACTTTAAACATGTACTCTTTGAGGACACATTCTTTGACGAGTGCTATTTTGAAGACGTAACATCAACAGATACCTACTTCAAAAATTGTACCATTGAATCAACCATCTTTTACAACACAGGTAGGTAAGAACATTGACAGATTGAATAGAAAGTAACAGGAGACAACTTGTGTTGTCCAAGAATCAAAATGGTCAGGCATAAACTTTAGGAGTAGGAAAGTATTCGTAGATACAAATGCCAAGCCTTGGTGGGGAAATGGATTTTAGCCCCAGGCATGGCACAAATTAGGTGCACAGCCTTTGCTAAGGCATTTAATGTATCTGCGTCTCAGTTTTATCACAAATGAAATGGAAACAAAAGTTGTAGCCAAATGTCCTCATGTCAGTGAGGCTGATGCTATACACGAAGGGTCTTTGGTATGAACAAAGGATGACACAAATAACAACTGGCATTCCAGGAGGGCTGCATTTTATGCACGGAATGCATTCTTGAAGACCTTGCACAATTTGAAACTTGCAAAATGCAAGACTCATGTTCTCACAATAATAAATGGAAAGGGAAAATTACATCTGTTCACATTTTTTGCATAAAGTGAAATACAAAGACTATTTTAAAATCATACTATTTCAGATTTCTGTGATTTAAAAAGTCCCAAAATTCTACCACTACACCTCTTCTTGTTACTTTTACTACCCTCATCATAAATTAATAACATACCAAGTGAAGTCGGGGTATAAGGAAACCAACTGAGCTTCATTAGGGGGCTTTACCTACATTGTCTCAAGGGAGAAATGTACTATTTTTTTTTAATCCTTCTCTTATAGCTAAGGAAACTGAGTTAAGGAAATCAAGACTTAAGCAACTTGCTCAAGGCCGTGGTTAGCAAGTGGAAGGAGTTTGGATTCATTCCTCAGTTGTTTGGCTCTGAAGCCTGCAATCTTTCCACAGAACTACTTGCATTATGTCCAGATCTATGCTTTATTCTTGGCATCAGCAGCAAGGGATAGTTTATATAAGAACATCTTTTTCCTCTATGATATCAGCCTCAAGAGCTTCAAGATCTGGTCTCTAAATATTCTGGAGTCTCTTAATAATTCATTCTGGCACTAACCTTCCTGAATTTCCTTTTAGACTGATCTTGAAACAATAATGAGTTCCGGAAGTTTAATAAGTGTCATTAGAAACTGGCATATTGTTTTATGATTTCAAGTTTGAATGATGCCTCCTCATTTGAATACTCTTACCATGGAGATTCTTGCAAACACGTGTAGTCAGGAAATGTCAGAGCTGGGAGAAGCAGTGGAGATGATCATGTGCACTCTTCCAATTTTGTAGATTTTGTAGGTAGAGCCTCAGGGAGGTTAAAGAGGGTCAGCAGCAGGGCCAGCTCCCCAAACGCAGGTTTCTAGGGAGCCTGTTTAGTACTTTTTCTGTCAGAACAGCTGATCTTAGAAGGTGTCAGAAGACTTGCAAACTGGTTCCAATGCAAATGGCTTTTATTTTTTAAGAATGTTCAGGTTTTGGCACAGACTACAGCATGGGCTCTGGAGTGATCGGCTCCATCTGGAACCAACTCTCTTGTGTTCTGCTCCCCTATGCCAGGTAGCCTCCAAGGAGAGGCCTAGCTGCCGTGGCCCTCAGTGTCTCAGTGTCACCTGATTGGTACAAACAGGACTGTTATCCAGCTGGAGAGATGATTTTTTTTTTTTTAAAGGCAAGGTCTCCCTCTTTTGCCCAGGCTGGAATGCAGTGGCATGACCATGGCTCAATGTAGCCTTGACCTCCTGGGCTCAAGTGATCCTCCTGCCTCAGGTGCCAGAGTAGCTGGGACTACAGGCACACACCACCCCACCTAGCTAATTTAAAAGAAAATTTTATTTATTTATTTATTTGTAGAGATAAGGTCTCACTGTGTTGCCCAGGCTGGTCCTGAACTCCTGAGCTCAAGTGATCCTCCTACCTCGGCCTCCTCAAGTGCTGGGATTACAGATGTGGGCCACTACACCTGGCTGAGAGGATGCATTTTGAAGTCTCTCAATGTTAGTTTAATTTCCCCTTGCTTTTAGGAACTTGAACAGGTCATTACATTTTTGGAAGTTTCTCTCCTCATCCATACCTTGATGACATGGCCACATATTACCTTGACTTTGAGGCTGTCTGACTGGCAAAGGCTGGCACAGCCTGCCTACAGGAGGGGGCAGACTTCATCCCTGCCTCTGCCTTTCTCTCTCCAGCTCCCTTCCACTTACATGAACCGAAGGTTTCCTTCTCTCCCCAGACCTCTACGAGCACAAGTTCATCAACTGTCGGTTTATCAACTCCACCTTCCTGGAGCAGAAGGAGGGCTGCCACATGGACTTGGAGCAAGATAATGACTTCCTGATTTACCTCGTCAGCTTCCTGGGCAGCCTGTCTGTCTTACCCGGGAACATCATTTCTGCCCTGCTCATGGATAGAATTGGAAGGCTCAAGATGATTGGTGAGTTGCCAGCAGGGTCATTCCTGGGTTCCAACGCGCTGGGGTGGTGACTTTCAAGTGTATTAAACAGGGAAATTTTCCCTTTTATTAAATAATTCTTGCACAACAAACCCAACAAGTAAGATTGCACCCAGGGCTATAGAGCCAAGGATGTGTGCCTACAGAAGACTCCAGGGCTCCTGGGAAATAGTCAAGAATCTTTGGTCTAGGCGAGGGACTTTTGTTCATTTCCTGACAGAGAAATTCTGTGACAGTCATTTAATCTATTAGCACTTCAATAAGGGTAGTAATAATATCCACCCTGCCTCTTCATCCGATTATTGTCAGAAAAATATATAAAATGCTCCTGGGTGATGGTTTGATGTTTGAAGATAAATTGTGTTACTTTTATTATTTAATAGCAATACCACTTTAGGCTTTGGAGTTGGACAGAGTCATGTTGAAATCCTATCACCGAAAGGCTGTTTGACCTTGAATGTGTTCCTTTACTTCTCTGGGCCTCAGTTTCCTTATTTATAAGAGAATGATTTTCCACATCCAGCTGGTAGGGTTTTGTGAGAATTGAACATAAGGTACCTGTAACACTTGGCACATCGTCGGTTCTCAAAAATGGTAGCTATATTCATGTATGCCTTGCCTCATTCCATCGGGACTTGCAGCAATTTATTACAGAAACACATGCCATGAATGGTAAACAAGAAGCAAAATGTACAGATTGAGGACCAGGGGAAATGCACATTAGAATATGAGTCAAGGCCAGGGGTGGGGAAGTGGACAACACATTATTAATAAACATGCCATTAGGGACCTGCGTTAGGGTTGACGTTGATTAGGAAAGTTAATACGAAGCTTCCTAGCAGCAACGTGCAAAAGGAAACACAATAAATCATAAAGTCATTTTGTTGGAGAAGAGAAAATTGATCAGGTCTTCATGGGAAGGAATTCTTTTCCTGGCATTTGGCTCATACTGAATATCACTATTATAAATAGTAGCATGCATATTCAGCGTGGTAAGCGTGAGAACTGCCTGTGACTTCAGCTTTTTAATCTTGTGGTGAGGGTGGAGTCATCTCTTAGATATGGCAGACTTCATGCTCTCCTCTATTAGAGGCAGTGCCTGGGTAGTCTTGAGGCCCTATGGGGGAAGGGACAATGGCTTACTCGTCCATAACCCGTGTCCAGCGCAGTGCCTGCAGTAGAGTTGACACTCAGCAATGCTGCTGAACTGATCAGAACGGAAGAAGATGGCCTCTTTCCTAGGTTAGCCCCAAACACCAAGCTTTCAGCAGAAGACACTACAGGTTGGCATCTTAAAAACACTTTGGCTGGGAGTCAGGTGGCTCCGTCTCTGCCAAGATTAGCTTTATGTGTGGACCCACGTTCCTTTACTTCTTTGAGCTTCCATTTTCATTGTTAAAATAATACCTCTGTTTGCCTCAGTGAGATAAGGGGTGTGAGAGCAGACATGAGACACTTCCGCCATTTGTCACCAGCCTTATGAGTCCCAGAGTTTACCAATGGAGTCTCTGGTCTGTTCATGAAGCAGCTGAGGAAGTTCTGGGGGAGGCAGGGTTATAAGGCTGGGGTGGGTGCCCATGTCGACGAGAACAGCCCACCGCCTAAGGACCTGCCACATGCCCCCTCACAGAAGTGGGGTGGGGGTGTGGCTGGGCACAGGGGCAGGCGGGACGGTGAGACAACAGACATCCTTTCCCTCACCACTGAAGCCCTTCGTATCATCGTGAATACATCCCAGATCAAAACAATTCCTATAATGCTAAATAAAGGCACGCTCTCGAATGAGAGATCTAGAACTAATATTTAATCATTCCTTATAGCCTACTCTCTTGTGAATGTCTCTGTTTTGTTTCTGCGCTAGAGGCAAGCTTGTTAAGAGCTGAGACAGGACCTTCTTTGTCTCTCTACCCTTCAATCTTTAGTAAAAGGCCTACATGCAGTGGGTCGGCTGTGACATTGGCAAGTGCATGGTAAAGACAAGGTGCTCAGCTGATATCTATTTCACTAGGATATGGGATGTGGCGGAACCACTTTGAAATAGCCCTATCCCCACCTCTCAGACCAACCCCACTAGAAAATCTGCAAGCACATTTTTGTTCTGCTTAATCTGCTGGGCTCTTTGTAGTGTGCAAGTCATTTCTTGTTATCAGCGGAGTAGAAGTTTTCCTGATTAGGCTGCTACCCACTCATTTATTCATCCAATAACATTTATTTATGCAGTAGTTATTCTCTCAAGGCTGTGTGGGAGGCAATGGGAATGCAACAGTAATTGAGACAGACAGTATCCCTGTGCTTAAGGCGCAAATGATCTATTGGGAGAGGCAGACTTCGACTAGAAATTTCATTTACCTAAACACTATGACATGCTTATTGTTATTGAATATTATTATTATTGAATATTATGAATATTGAACATGTGTTCAATATTAACACATGGAACCCTCACAATAACCCTATGAGGTAGGCGCCATTTTAATCAACATTTTAGAGATGGGGACAGTGAGACAGCTCACAGAAAGGTGAAGCAACTCACTCACGGTCACACAGGTAGTAAATAAGCCGGCATTTGCACCCAGGCCTCCCAATTACCAGAGGAATAAGAATTATGGAAGTGGAAGTACACTGGGCCCTGGGGACTTATAGCAGGAACACCTAACAGAGTTGAAGGATCAGGGAAGGCCTCCCTGACTATTAGCTGATGTGTCAGATCATCATGTTTTGTGGTTATGAAGTGTTTGCCAGCATTTACTGTAAGCCAAGCCCCATGGCTGGCCCCTCTGAGGGATGCATGCATGTAGAGGGTATTGTCCACAGAGCACTTGGGGGTCCTGTAGATGCCAGTTTCCCCTGTTCTAGTTCTCTCCTAGCTTTTGGAAAAAGGTTACCAGGCACCTGCTCACAGCCCTACCACTTCCCAAAGTGGGCAGAATCCAGTTGGACAGTTATCATTTCCTAGTTCATCAGCAAGGATTGGCACTAGTCTTGCAGCCCCAGGTCTGAGGGTGACACTCCGGGCTGAGGACCGTCCCTGGGGAGGTGTTTCTTATTGAGGCCAGGTCAGCCTCTGGCTTCTTGACAACTGGAAAACCTTCCTCCTGCAGGGTCCTGGTGCCTGGTGGGGCACTCGTGCCCTGTGTCCCGGTTGGTTGTTTGAGACCTGCTTCCTTCCCACCTTTCTGCTCACCCTATTTCCACCTCATTGCCAGTCACTTTTCTAGTCTGCAACCTGTTTTGCCATGTTCTGCATCCACCTTGGACTTGGAGCTTGCATCTCAAGGTCCTCCGGGCTGAACTTACTGGAATTGGGCAGCATTTGACAGTCTTCTTTGGATGGGATCTCCTATCAGCTCTATAAGGGCTGTGCTGCTCATTTTCTGTTCACTCCCATCCCCACCCCAGAGTTCTGAGCTGGACTTCTCCGCCCTGCTGGGAGCCCTGCGAGGCTAACCTCATGGACTGCATACTTAGATTCCTGGAGGGGAAAAGGGATTCACCCCAGATAGTTCTAGTGAGGAAACTTTACTCATAGAGCTTTTAGAGGTGTGGAAAGGGTTATGGAAACAAATAAGGCAGGTGAGGCACCCAGACACTAGCAAAAGTGAGAAGCAGTCACCACCTCTATGGCTGTGAGGACAAGGGGGGATAATTGCACTCACAGAGCTCCATGGGGGCTGGAGCCGTGGAGCAAGAGCTACCTGGGAGGAACTGGGGTCTTGGAGGGATGCAGACATTGCCAGAAAAGGCCTTCTACCCCCGGGGAGGAGTTGGGGAGGGGTACTCCAGCCACCTTCCCCTCCCAACTGATAAGAAAGTCCATGGGGTTAGCGTGTAGAGGGTATGTACAGAGCACATGTACAGAGGATAGCGCAGGGCTGAGAAGGGCAAGTCAGATCTCTGGGGTGGGGATTCGGGTAAATGGGGAATAGCACCGCCTTTCTTCAGGTTTCCCTTCAATAGCCCATGTACAGGTGTGTTCTCACCAGGTTATAAGCTCCATGAGAATGGATTTTTTTAAAAAATTATTTTTTTATTTTTAATGGATAAATTATAATTGTATATTTTGATGGGGTACAATGTGATATTTTCATGCATATATACGATGTGGAATGATTAAGTCAAGCTAATTAACATATCCATCACCACACATATATATGTTTTGTGGTGAGAATATTTGAAATTTACTCTCTTAGCAATTTTGAAATATACAATACATTGTTAGTAACTGTAGTCACCGTGCTGTGTAGTAGATCTCGAAAAGTGAGATGATGCAGATGTTTCTGTGCCTGGTTTACCCCATGGACTGTATCTAGCATCCTGCCTTCCAGGTTCATCCATGTTGTCATAAATGGCAGAATTCCTTTCTTTTCTTCTCCTTCCTCTCTCTCTCTTTCTCTCTTCTTTCTTTCTCTCTCTCTCTCTCCTTCCTTCCTTCCTTCTTTTTCTCTTTCTTCTTTTTTTGACAGTGTCTTGCTCTGTCACCCAGGCTGGAGTACAGTGGCGCCATCTCGGCTCACTGCAACCTCTGCCTCCCAGCTTCAAATAATTCTCGTGCCTCAGCCTCCCAAGTAGCTGGGATTACAGGTGTGCACCACCGGGTCTGGCTACTTTTTGTCTTTTTCGTAGAGACAGTGTTTTATCATGTTGGTCAGGCTGGTCTCGAACTCCTGACCTCAAGTGATCCACCCACCTTGGCCTCCCAAAGTGCTGGGATTATAGGCCAGAATTCCTTTCTTTTTAATGTCTGAGTAGTATCCCATTGTGTATGTAAACCACATTTTCTTTATCCACTCATCTGTTGATGGCCACTTAGGTTGACTCCATATTTTGACTATTGTGAATATTGCTACATTGAACAAGAAGCACAGATCTCTTTGACATCCTGGTTTCAAATCAAGACTGAGGTTTTTGTTTTTGTTTTTTGGCCAATACTGATGTAGCTCAAGCACCTAGAACAATGTCTGGTACATAATAGATTCTCAACAAATGCCCCTATCTGCCCCGTCCCGTCACTCTGAGCTGGGCACCACCTTAGAGTGGTGACTTCAGAATCCTTCCTAAGTCTGGTGATCTGACCCACGCAGAGGGCTCTAATGCCATGTCTGGGGTGCCTTGTGAGGATTCCAGCTGTGCTCTCTCTGTGTGGAGGGTGAACCTAATACTTCAGGCAGCCTTGGCTTCAGGTGTACCAGTGAGGGTGGGAGATGGGGCAAGAACTGTGAGTGACAGCCATGTGCAAGACACAGGCCTCATGTTTCTTTTTGCCCTTGAACTCCCTCTGCAGGTGGCTCCATGCTAATCTCTGCAGTCTGCTGCTTCTTCCTGTTTTTTGGCAACAGTGAGTCTGCAATGATCGGCTGGCAGTGCCTGTTCTGTGGGACAAGCATTGCAGCCTGGAATGCTCTGGATGTGATCACAGTGGAGCTGTATCCCACCAACCAGAGGTCAGTTCTTCCCCAGGCTTTCCTCAGGGACTTGTTTGGGCTTCTTTGGCCAGAAGTCTACCTGCTCCCTAAATCTCATGCT